>NC_000012.12:114278309-114429824 GCF_000001405.40 Homo sapiens | reverse complement strand
TCTCGAACTCCTGACATCAGGAGATCCACCCACCTCGATCTCCCAAAGTGCTGGGATTACAGGCGTGAGCCACCACGCCTGGCCTTATTTTATTTTTAAACTTTTTTATTTTTTAAATTGTTTTCCCAAGTTTTTATTTTAGACTCAGGAGGTACCTGTGCAGGTTTGCAATATGGGTAAATTCCATGCTGCTGGGGTTTGGTGTGCAAATGATTTCCTCAACCAGGTAGTGAGTATAGTCCCCAGTAGGCAGTTTTTCAATCCTCACTCTCCTCTGACCCTCCACCCTCAAGTAAGCCCTGGTGTCTATTGTTCCCCTTTTTGTGTCCATATGTACTCAATTCAACTTTTATTTTAGATTCAGGGGGTACATATGTAAGCTTGTTACCTGGGTATATTGCATGAGGCTAAGGTTTGGGGTATGAATGGTTCTGTCACTTGGGTACTGAGCAATGAATTCTGCAGAGCTTCTGACCCAGATTCATGCTTCAAGATGCAGTTATTGTTGTCTGATGCTTCAAATGGCTTATCAGGCTTGAGAAAACGTTCATCTCAGAATCTGTTTTCAGCTTCTCTCTCTTGGAAATTGTCATTAACTTTCCCACCTCACTACCTCATACCCCTTCACATCTTTCATCCAACTACCAACTAGATTTTTTATAAGGTTTTGTGAATTTCAAAAACATTTTATAATTATTGTTATATACCCATTTCTATATACTTTATTCCCAATGAGCTATGCATGCAGTTGGCATGGTGAGGCATGTGGTGTTACTTACCATTTTTCACATAAAGTGATGCGTGATGGTTTAATCACTATGAAAACAGTGGTTCATAGGCTCATGAAGGAGGGTTGACTTGGGCTGCCTCCTAAAGGATGATAATTTGGATAGGTAGAAAAAAGAGGACCAGGTGTGGTGGCTCATGTCTGTAATTCTAGCACTTTGGCAGGCTGAGGCAGGCAAATCACTTGAGGTCAGGAGTTTAAGACCAGCCTGGCCAACATGGTGAAACACTCTCTCTACTGAAAATACAAAAATTAGCCAAGTGTGGTGGTGCATGACTGTAATCCCAGGTACTTGGGAGGCTGAGGTAGAAGAATCACTTGAACCTGGGAGGCAAAGGTTGCAGTGAGCTGAGATTGCACCACTGCACTCCAGCATGGGCAACATAGTGAGATTCTGTCTCAAAAAAAAAAAAAAAAAAGTAGAAAAAAGAAGAGGAGAAACTATTTCAAGCAACAAGGAGACATTGAGCAAAATCAGATGGTATTGTGTTGGTTGAATATCCCTTATCAGAAATATCTGGGGCCAGCAGTGTTTTGGATTTCAGATTTTTTCAAATTTTGGAATATATGCAAATACCTAATGAGATATCTTAGGAAAGGGACCCAAGTCTGAACATGAAATTCATTTGTTTCATATATACCTTGTACACATAGCCTGAAGGTAAATTTATACAATATTTTAAAATAATTTTGTGCATGAAACAAAGTTTTGACTGTGTTGACTGTGACCCATCACATGAGGTCAGGTGTGGAATTTTCCACTTGTGGCAACATACTGGCACTCAAAAAGTTTTGGATTTTGGAGCGCTTTGGAATTTAGATTTTCTGAGTAGAGATATTACCTGTGTTGTAATAATTTGCTTGTACGTTCATCTCCTTATTGGAGCATTGTGAGACCATTAAGATGAGGGGGTCTTATTCATCTTTTTCCACCTGTTGCCTAGCACAGTGCCTGCAATGTGGTGATCATATATTACATCGCAATAATCAGCGGGACTCATGGATTCTCAGCTGACTTCACTCAACTCATAGAAACACAACTCACACTGGTTTATGCAAAAATAAAATTCTAAAGGGAGAAATTATTGGCTTATGAAATGTGGAAGCTTATGGACATGTCAGCTTCAGGTATATTTAGATCAAAGGACCCCCAACAATGTCTCTTCATCTTTTGGTTCTGCTTTTTTCTCTGTTGAATTCCTCACCAGACAGAATCATTCCAGACAGTAGTCTCTCTTTTTCTCTCCCCCTGTATAAATAATTATTAATGAACCATCTGAGCAAGTTAGAGACATTGTGCCTCTTTAAACACAACAGAGAGCATTTGCTAAAAACAAGGATTTTATCTTACATAATCACAGCACAATAACTGAAATCAGAAAATTCAACGCTATTATCAAATCCACAGTTTACGTTTCATTTCCATCAATTGTCTCAATAATGGCTAGTGTGGCTATGCCACTCCCACCAATCCAGAATCATGCATTATATTTACTTGATATGTTGTTCTATAATTTGGAAGTGTTTCTGTGTTTTTCTTTGTCTTTCTTGATCTTGACATGTTTGAAGAGTACAGACCAGTTGTTTTGGAAAACATCCCTCTATTTGAGTTTGTCTAATGTTTCTGCATGCATTTTTGCAGGTATAACATTTAATCCTTTGGAAGGTGACAGCTTTTTCACTAGACACTTAATATGAGATTGCTCTAAGACTTTGCCTTCCATGAACTCCACAGAAGTGGTCTTTGGAAAAAGTCTTTTTAGCTTCCTGTGTCTACTGGCTCATAGTTTCATGAGGCTTATTGGCCAAGCCTTTATGGGTGCTGGGTTTTCAAAGCCATGTGACTCTTCAGACCTACCTTCAAACCACAGTCCGTTTTAAGTCATCTTCAGCAACGTGTGTCTCCATAAGTCTTCTTTCTTGGGGTCACTTTTTCAAGATTTGTTCAGGAAGGTAGCCTTCCTGCAAAAACATAAAGGCCCCTGGTTTCCTTCATCTCACCATGCACAGGCAAACCATTTCCACTGTCCCATATTCTAGCTGGTCTGAATTTATTTCATGCCCTCTAATCCATTCCAGTAACCCAGCTTTTACTCACAAGCTGCACTTATTTACACTAATTGTAGTTGGAGTTCTGGAGCAACTCTTTATTAAATCAAATTACTTTTATTCTGCGCCTCAAGTGTTCTCATGCGTAAACAGGATACAAGAAGACTGCCTATTTCGGAGCTGGTTGTGAGGACTAAATTTGAATTAAAATTAAGTCAAGCATTTAGTACAATGCCTGACACAGGGCCAGTACTCAGATCATTTTCTGTATCTCAAGCTATGTATTTATATAGACCTATATGTATCTCTATCTGTTTCTCAATATGGGTAAATTCTACCCTTTCCATTGCAAAGATCTTTATGCATGGTTCTTTCCAGAATGACACTTGAGAGAAAGCATGATGCAGTTGATATCCAGTTGTGTAGGCCTCTTATGCATTGGTAATTGGTATGACATTAGAATATGAGCTTCTTGAGGGCAGAAATATTTGTCTGTTTTGGTGACTGTTGTAACTTCAGCCCCAGGAATAGTTTTTGAGCAGGTAGTAGACAGTCAATGTTTATTTAAATCACAAGCCCCTACTTGGTAATCCTGGAGGTTGATTTTAGAATTAGATAAACTTGGAGCATTCAGTTAATTCCAAGTATAGCTCAAATCTACATCTGATAAATTTCTTTCAGCTGGTCCAGAGAAACAGGGTGGAAAAGATGCTCTTAGCGGTAGACCAGTGGCACATTAACTAAGTACTCATATTTGAGCTGAGAAGTGAGTGTTAAGAGAATAGCAGTGAACTAAACCTTGGCAAATTCAGTCCCACGGGCTCCTTGATCTGACTTGTCACTTATGATGGCAGTTATACCTGACGTCAGGTTATTGTGTTTCTCCACTGTGCCAGACTTTTTGCAAATGTAACCCCCAATCTTTGTAATATCCTTACGTCGTGGGTGTTCACAGCTTCACTTTTTCAGATACAGTTAGGAAAGCTGAGAAACAACCTAACCAGAATTGGCTTTTTCCCTCTTAAAAGGCTGAAAGACTATTTCGCTGGGTTAAATTTTCTTAGTTCTACACATTGAGCACATGAAAAGAGAAGAGCAATTCTACTAGATTTGGTAACCTTCTGTTTGGGGTACATTACATGTTTTATATAAGAATCTTTTTCATCCTCTCAACAATTCTAAAAGGTAGGTAGTATTGTGGCCCTTTTACAGAAGAGGAAACTGAGGATTAGAGTGTTTTAATAACTTAACTGCGGTCATCCATATCTACCTGTCTATGCTTGAAACCATGACAAAAAAATACCCTGCACAGGGGGATCTATTTACAAAGCTTGATTCAATATGTGCTTTTGCATTGGGGATCCCTTCCCTACCCCCTATGCTCCCCAAAGTCCCAAAAGACCAGGAGGAATTAGGTTGTTTTTACATCACACCAGAGCTTACTAAAAACTTCACCATTCCTTTTTCTCCTTGTTGATGAAATGAGACATTAGACAGTGGATGGGCCAGGAAGTGTTGCAATACTGGATTCTAAACAAATATTCACTGAATGCTTGAGCAGTCATGTGAATGAATCCTTTCGGGCAACTCTGCCCAGGGCTACTGAGAAGTGGAAACTGAGCTGCAGCTGGGATGAGTGACCACCAGCTCAACACTGCAATCACTCAGCTCCAAAGAGATGATAATGACTTTCAACCAGAATGTAGACACAAAGATGAAAGACCCTTTTTCAATGTCAACGCTTTAGCCAGTCACCTTGGCTTTAGGGCCATCCTTTGAACTCCCTTCATAATCCAGCAGAAGAGAAACTATAGGATAGCTCTGAGCAAGACTGTCTTTCGTTATTGCTTAATAACCCTCCAGAGGTCTCTTGGTATATTGTACCCCTGTACTGTTTGATTTCCTTTGTAGGGGTGTGGAAGGGGAAATCAGGCTTTGACATAAATGAATGGAGACTGATACTCCTGGGAGAAGAGGATGTTGTCCCCAGGATCCATGTGGTCTGCACCAATATCTTCTTTGTTTGGAATGTAAGTTGTTTCTGGTAAATTTCTGAGCTCTCATAGCAGATGGGTCAAAGTACATTCATTCATTGTTTCTTCCCATACATCGAGGCATGGCTACTTTATGAGCTTTGGGGGTTGAGGGAAAACTGGACCAGGACAGCCTACAGCTGCATTGCCATAAAATGGTGCCTGAGCTACCTCCAGGTGTTTAAACCCACATCCTTGCTTTTGGGCTTTGACCTGCTGAAGACATTTTACAATCTCAGCTTCTTTCACTGACACTTTGTAGATGATTCCTTGGGAATGCACTATGAGCTGATGTCTCATTTAGAAGCTTCCTCTTTCCAAAAACCATGTCCCACCATGTCCCAGAGACTTGAGTTATCCACAGCAGAAATTTGGGGTGATTTGTCTTGCTCAATAGGTCTCGGCTCCGAGGTTGTACACTGTAGTATATATGTACTTACCTATTCTTTGAAATTGAGATTTAAACAATTATCAAGGGAAAAAATGAGGGAAAAACTAGGAACATTTATTGAGCCGTCACTCTGTGCCAGGCACTGTACCTGACACATATTGTTATCATTCATCTACTTTTCTAACAGATTATGTGAGTCCTGTAATTTTCCTGATTTCAGACATAAAGAAACTGAGGCTCAGAAAGCTTGCTAATCTACGAAAACTGTACAATATGTAATTGTCAATGCTGGGACTTGAGCCCAGATTAATGGATGCTTTAGATATGTTTATTAACATCCATGTAAACATGGAAAACATCAGACACACACACACAGGCTCATTTTTAGTTATGAGTTAAATATCAGATACTGATCTAGGTCAATAGTTGCACCGAATTAATTGCAATAGCTTACATTTATGGGTCACTTACCTGGTACTTTTTATTTATTATCTCCTCACATCCTCACAACAATACTGAGGGGACATAGTTATTATCCTCTTTTTACAGATGAAAAATACTGAGCCTTAGGGATGTCACATCACTTGCGTGTTTGGGCAAACTGTCCCCTTCTGGTAACAAGATGGTGGCCAGTATCACTAAGCTTTCCACCCTTAACACTCTAAGGCCAGTAGAGAGGCCTTCTCTTCCCCACATTTCTAGCAGATGTTCCACGATAACCTCTGATTGGATAGAATTTAAACACATGCCTACAGCTGAACCAATCATTGCAGCTGGAGGATAGAATATGCTAATTGGCCATCTACTGGGTAATGAGAGCTAGGAAGGGAAACTCAGGATGCTGTCACCAGAGGAGGAAATGGATGCTGTCCACTATTGCATGACTTGTGCTACAGAAAAACCTGCCATAGATTTCAGAAGGGGCTTCCACTCACTTGGCCTTACTAAACCCAGGTCTGTGTGATTTAGATGAACCAGGAAATTGCTTCAGTGTAAACCTAGTCTTGGAATTCTTGTCAGCTCCAGTTTCCACAATTTTGAAGCCAGAAGCACCACTCTATTTCTGATGCTTTAAATAGTCAACCCTGGAAATTAAAGTCAGGCTGAATGTTTGCAACTGGAACCTCAAAATTTCTTTCTTTCTTTCTTTCTTTTTTTTTTTCGAGATGGGGTCTCGCTCTGTCGCCCAGACTGGAGTGCAGTGGCACCATCTCGGCTCACTGCAAGCTCCGCCTCCTGGGTTCACGCCATTCTCCTGCCTCAGCCTCCTGAGTAGCTGGGACTACAGGTGCCCGCCACCACAACCAGCTAATTTTTTGTATTTTTTAGTAGAGACGGGGTTTCACTGTGTTAACCAGGATGGTCTCTATCTCCTGACCTCGTGATCTGCCCGCCTCGGCCTCCCAAAGTACTGGGATTACAGGCGTGAGCCACCGTGCCCAGCCCAATATTTATTTCCTTGCCCAAAATTCAAATGTGGAGCCAGTCAGGGATAAATATAGCTCAAGGCTCTATTGGTTAGCCATATTGCTGCAGTTATGTCACGTAACAAATTACTACCTCCACCAGTGGCTGACAACAATAAACATTTGTTTTTTACTTATGAATCTATGGGTTAGCTGGACAGGTCTGCCAAATGGAGTGTACTTAGGTATTTCTGGTCAGCTGCAGTTAACAAAGTGGCTTTGGTAGTCTTAGCTGGACTCCCTTACTTATCTAGAGCCTTGGCTTAGACAACTGGGCAGACTCAGTCATGTGTCTCATCCTCCAGGAGGGTAGCCCAGAATCGTTCACACAAAGAAATCAGAGAGATAAGAGTGTAGAAACATACAAGGGGTTGAGTTTTCTACTATCCCATTGGCTAAAGCGAGTCACAGAGGCCAAGTCTAGAGTCAGCATGAGTAGAAGGTAGCATGGAAAATGGGGTCACTATAGAGTCAGCATGGGTAGAAGGTAGCATGGAAAATTGGGTCACTAGATGCAATCAATCTTCCATAGGCTCCAAATGGATTCTTTTTTAAAATTGTTAATTTTGGTGGGTACATAATAGGTGTATATATTTATGAGGAACGTGAGATATTTTGATACAGCCATACAATGCCTAATAATCACATCAGGGCAAATGGGATATCCATTACCACAAGCATTTATTCTTTGTGTTATAAACAATCCAATTATACTCTTTCAGTTATCTTAAAATGTACAATTGAATTATTCTTGACTATAGTCACCCAGTTGTGCTATCAAAGGCTAGATCTTATCTCATCTTATTCCTTTTTTCTAACTATATTTTGTACCCATGAACCATGCCCACCCCTCCACTCACCACGCCACCACCACTACCCTTCCCAGCCTCTGGTAACCATCATTCTATTCTCTATCTCTGTCAGTTTGATTGTTTTAATTTTTAGCTCCCACCAAGAAGTGAGAGCATGTGAAGTTTGTCTTTCTGGGCCCGGCTTATTTCACTTAGCATACTGACCTCCAGCACGGATGGATCCATGTTGTTGCAAATGACAGGATCTCATTCTTTTTTTTACAGCTGAATAGTACTCCATTATGTTAATGTACCACATTTTCTTTACCCATTCATCTCTTGATGGACATTTAGGTTGCTTCCAAATCTTAGCTATTGTAAACAGTGCTGCAACAAACATGGGAGTGCAAATATCTCTTTGATATACTCTTTTCCTTTCTTTTGATGATCCAAATATATTCTTTTAGTTTCCTGATAGGAGGTAATCAGATAGTGAGAATTATGCCACAGCTAGCAGAAAAACTGAACACATTCACTCCTAGTCCCCGACTCTGGCCTCATCCACACCAAATGCCAGGAATACAAAGCCAGAGGCCCCCGTCCTCACGTTTGACCATTCACTTAATGAGCACTTCTTCATGATCTGGGAGCTGGGAGACAACAATCACAGAGTTCCTGCCCCCAAAGAGCTGTGTCCTATAGGAAGACAGGCCTGGAAGTCAATGGTTACAACTTAGGTTCTTAAGTGCTGAGCAGAGATGGGGGTGCAGGGCCGCAGAAGACCAGAGAGGCCATTGCTCCATGATTATGAATTCACAGAACAGCCAAGCTTCCTCCCTCTGCCCCCGATGGGGGCCAGGGATCTCCAGGCCCATCGACCAGGCTATGAGCATTTCTTCCCTCCTCCTTCTGTCCTCATCCTGCCTCCTGTTTCTTAGAAACCTTGCTCAGAGGAGGCTTAGCTTCTCCTTCCAGATACTGATCAGTTGGTATTAATGTTTTCCAAGAGATCAATTACACATATGGCTGCTGAATCCTTCTCCTGCCTCCTCTCCCCACCGTGGGCTGGGACTCTGGTGAAGCCTGCCTCTGCTTGTCTCGAGAGGATCAGCGTTCTTCAGCACAGTGCACTCAAGACCTACTCCAAACCTGTGCCAGATGTTTTACATATACAGTCATATATCCCTTGACAACAGTGATATGTTGTGAGAAATGCATTGCTAGGCAATTTGGTTGTAGTGTAAACTCCTACATGGTACAGCCTACTACACACCTAGGCTGTATGGTATAGCCTATTGCTACCAGGCTACCAACCTGAACAGCATGTTTCTGTACCGAATACTATAAATAATCATAACACAGTGGCATTTGTGCAACTAAACATAGAAAAAGTACAGTAAAAATACAGCATTATAATCTTATGAGACCACTGTTGTATATGTGGCCCATCATTGACCTAAATGTCTTTATGTGGCATATGACTGTACTGTATTGTATTATTTTTCCTCTCAACAACCACCTGAAGCCGACATTCTTATGAAACCCATTATATGGATTGAGAAACTGAGGCTGAGAAAGGTGAAGAGACTTATGTTCCCTAGTTCGTAAGTCCTAGTTCTTAAAGTTCATTCAATTAGGAACTGGCAGGGCTAGGATTTGGACACGTGGCAATGCCTAAGGCTTAACCACAATATCCAGCTTCCTCTCTAAGCAATGTCCACTCCATTTGTCTGCTCTCTTTTCAATTCCGAGTCACAATTTGGGTTTAGGTCTGCTCAAGCTACAATACAAACAAATTCTTCTACACGAGCCCAAGAGAGGGAAGTGGAGAGACTGGAGTTTAGAAAAACTGGTTTGAGAAGAGCCCAGCCAATGCTCCTTTTAAGTTGGCTTTTTCTCGCCTCCCTAAATCTCCTTTTCTGCCAGGAATCCAATCCTTCTCCCTGCTCCTGGGAGCCTCCACCCAGGGAAAACAGGAGGTCAGAGTGTGAGAAACAGGCCAGCAAAATCAGCTAGAAACAGCTCTTTCTTTTCTGCCAGTGACGGGTCCACACCCTGGATGCATAAATCCTTTATTTTATTTTTATTATTATTATAGCTCAGGGTCTAGCATGGGCCATAAACGGATTTAAGAGGCTGCTAGAGTATAGAATTTAATATAGTTAGCATCATTAAATAGTGGCACAGCAAACCCACTTGGGAAAGTCTGGACCCCACTATCCTTCTCCCCATCTCTTCTCACCTCCCTCCTGATTCCTCAAATTCTCCTGGCAAACATTGCATGGGGCAGCCCCCCTCTCACAAAGGCAAAGGGCAGGGAAATTAAACAGAGAGGCAAGAAGGCCAAGGAGGGTGGCCTGAGTCACGTTTCCCTGGTGTCTGCAGCTCTGGCGGAGAGGGCATTGGGCAAATGATCAATTAGGGACACGGGGAGATGGGACAGAGCCTTCTAGATAAGCATGGGTTTTATCAGCCTATAAAAAGTACCACTTTCACTTATCTGCTGGCTCCTTCTCCAGGCTCCTGGGAAGAGATGGAAAGGTAGCCAAAAGAAAGGCCCAGGGGACGGGGAGGGGTAATCGGTGATGGGGGCCACTTGGGGCAGAAGGAGAGGAACTTTCTCAGGGAAGCAAGGCTCAGAAAGCCAAAAAACATGCTGCGGGGGAGGGGGGTATTTTCCCCTGCAAACTGATCGCCATTCAGAATCATCTTCTTATTTGTATCGCCCAGAGGGAGGAGAGCTCCCTGGTCCTATGCACTTTATTGATTCCTTATGCCGATGGTCCCTGACTTACAATGGTTCAATTTACAATTTTCCAACTTCAGAATGGGTTTATCCGGGTATTAAGTGCACTTTTGACTTAACAATATTTTCATCATACGATGAGCTTATTGGAACGTGACCCCATCTTAAGTCGAGGAGCATCTGTATATGTTTTGCATATGTCTCCCTGGGTTCAAGTCCATCTGTTATGACACCATTATATATTTTGTTTAACACATGTTTAACTAGTGTCGATTACAGGAAGGGCATAATCCTGGATACTTGGGATGCGGTGTTGAAGGAAACAGCCATGACCTCTAGCCAGCTTAGAGTCCGAGGTGGAAACATAATAACTAAGCACATAACAAAAAATGACAGCAATACAGTGTGCTTATTAGACACCAAGTATTTTCTAAAAGCTTTACCTCTAGAAATTCACTTAATCCTCACAAATGCCCTAACAGAAGGGAGTACCACTGTTAGCCCCATTTTACAGAGAAGAAACTAATACATAAGCAAAATAATTTTTTAAAAATTATTAAGTTCCGGGGTACATGTGCAGGATGTGCAGGTTTGTTACATAAGGTAAATGTGTGCCATGGTGGTTTGCTGCACCTGTCAACCCATCACTTAGGTATTAAGCCCAGCATGCATTAGCTCTTTTCTCTAATGCTCTCTCCCACCCCCCACCCTCTCCTGACAGGCCCCAGTGTGTATTGTTACCCTCCCTGTGTCCATGTGTTCTCATTGCACAGCTCCCACTTATAAGTGAGAACATGCGGTGTCTGGTTTTTTGTTCCTTCGTTAGTTTGCTAAGGATAATGGTAAAATAACTTCTGATAGTGGTCAGTGCTATGTAATAAATAAAACAGAGTGATAAGATGGAGAGAGGGAATTTCAATGGCCAGTGGTCAGGGCTGGCCTCACGGAGGGGTTGGCCACAGAGGAGGCAGTTGCAAGGGGGGCTGGGAGTAGAGGGAATGGCATGTGCAAAGGCCCTGGGGTAGGAGCAAAGGCTGGTACAAATGAGGATCAGAGAAGGAGGTGGGTGGAATGGAGAGGCAGAAAGGAGGGCAGGATGAGATAGGAGGGCAGGCAGGGGCCAGCTCCTGCAAGGCCTTCCTGATACGGGAAAGAGTTCAGGTTTTATTCTAAGACTTTTTGTTTGTTTGTTTTGAGACAGGGTCTCACTCTGTCACCCAGGCTTGAGTACAGTGGTGCAATCATATCTCCCTACAGCCTTGAGCTCCTGGCCTCAAGTAATCTTCCCTCCTTGATCTCCCAAAGTACTGAGATCCCAGGCATGAGCCATGGTGCCTGACCTTTGGAGGGTTGTGAACACGATCAGGACATGAGCTGATGCTTCATTTTTCCTCAGTGGCAGGTAGCTCAGGCATCCTTGGGGGCTAGATGGGACCACTGGGTGGAAGGATGGTGATGGCAGTGGTGGTGCTGTGAGGAGAGGGGGTTAATGGGATCCAGGAATCTCCCAGAGGTCACTGTAGTGTGGTTTGCACTGGAGGCAGAAGAAAACGGTCCCACTCTCAGCTTGCTTCGAACTCCTGGAGAACTTTAGCAATTCCCTTCACTCTCTGCACCTCTAGATCTCAGTTTCCCCATATATAAAATTAAAGAGTTGGACTAGTTATTGCTAAGGGACTATTCAGGTCCCATCCTCAAGGATGGGGCTGTGTCGAAGCCCTGGGACCTTAAGGGGTGGGCTGAGGACTGAGGACATGGCTGGAGATGGGCTTTTCTTTTGCCTGCTCCAAACCCACATGTCTTTCTTCCTCCTGAATTGGTGGTTTCTAGTCTGAGTGGGACCTGTGGAATCAAGGGGTTCGCTCCAGGCTAACCTCACCATGCCAGTGGGGAACAGTCTCTAATTGTGACCACACAATTCCTTCTGCCAGGCTGGGCAGGGGCAGCCCGCCTCCAAGTGTACCTGTGTGTGTGTGGCCACATAAGAGGATACATGAGGGTCTGAGGCTGATGTGTGGGGGACCCTGGAATGATGCAGTGACCGTGTGAATCCAGAATGAATGGATCTGAATGCAACCGTGAGGGTATGTGTGGATCCAAGAGTATGCATGGGCTAATGTCTGTGACTCAGGGGGAAGACCTGTAATTGTGAGTGTGGCTGGTTTGGGACTGAGTGTGTGAGAGTGTGTGTGGCTGCACATGCACAGCTGTGCACACAGCTATGAGTGCATGTGAGCTACTCCATGTAAGATGGGGTCACATTCCAATAAGCTCGTCGTACGATGAAAATATTGCTAAGTCAAAAGTGCACTTAATACCCGGATAAACCCGTTCTGAAGTTGGAAAATTGTAAATTGAAGTCATTGTAAGTGTGTGTATGCATGGCCTTGGTTGTGATGTGTGTGCCTGACACTGAAGGGGGAGATATACTGGGGGTAGGGGGCAGTGTGTGGTTGTGTGTGAGGGTGGACAACAGGGAGTGTAAATGTGACTGTGAGTGTGTGTGTGACTGAACTGATGTGCATTTATGCACAGCTGTGAGCCTGTGGGTGGTTGTGAGTGGCCAGGATTGTGTGTCTGAATTGGTATCTGTGGGTGTGTGCCTTTGTGTGAGAGTATGTGTATGTGGACAAAGAGGTGTATGTTTGTGGGTATTTGCCTATTGTGTGAGGCTGAGTGTTAAAGAGTATACATGTGTGTTTGTGCATATCAAAGATTCAGTGTGTTTCTGTGATGTGTTGTTGAACGTGACCATGAGAGTGGCAGTGGGTTTGTGATCAGACCATGTGTGTACAGGGGTGTGTGCATGTGTGGCTTTGTGTGACTTTGAATACTAGAATGTGTATGTGACTGTGTCTATGCATGTATGAATTCATATGTTAATATATACATGTATTTATATATATGTATAGTATATATGTTTATATGAATGTGTGATGAATATGGTGGCAGCTATGTGACAAAATTGCTGAACCTAGACACGCAGTGGGTGGCTGCTTGGCGTGCCTGTGTGTGTGAGATAGAAAGGCTGCACCCATATACAAAGTGGGTGGCTGTGCATGGCTGTGTATGCTATAAGTGACTCCCAAGTGGCCGGGTCTGGGGCATCTCACTGCTTGACCCCTTGGGAACAGAGGGCTGAGGCTGTGGTGTCAGTGAGGGGCTGGGCCACCCTGAACAGGTGAACCAGCTTTCTCCCAGCCCCGTGGTGTCATAGGTGGCCAAGGCCAGATCATTGCTGCTGCTTCACCATGTGGCTGATGGCTGGCAGAGGGATCGGCTCAGCAGTCCAGGTCTTTACCTAGCCTAGGAAAGATTTGCTGCAAGCAGCTGTCTCTAATCATGCCAGCCCTGGAGCTGTCACCCTGGTATCTATGGAGCAGCAGAAGCAAACCCTCCCTGGAGTCCGCCAGGTCTGTGAACCCTCGGGGACAAGGTCAAAGGCTGCTTTGGGCAAAGGACTTGTGGGCAGCCAGACTGGTTCATCTGATCTCCTGGAATCAATTTCCAAGAAGTACACATAATCAGGATTTAGAGTCAACTCCCCTGTCCTTCTGGTACTGGGGAAGGCCCAGGAGGTGTGTGCCCGGGGAGCATGTGCACAACTGTGGTGCAGGTGCTTTGCATGCCAGTAGGTGGGTTGTGCCTGTATATCACCTACTCAAGCCTTTCACTCCGCCTATGGAGGAAGTAACTGTGCCTCCAATACTGCAAAGGGGTGCATTTCTGCCCGTGTTCGTGCCCAGCATGGATCTTGCACCTGCTATTTCCAACCTGCTAAGGGTGTGAGGGCTTCCCCTGCGTGCTCGGGGACAGGGACGAAGTTGCACTGACAACACTGTCCTCTCCAATTCCCAGGCACCTTTTTCCCAGTTCCCAGGAAGTGGCTGTGGAATTTGCTTCCAAATATAGACTCGGGTGGCCCAGGCTGCTGCAGACAGCCCCTTTGGCCTCCCAGGCTGAATGGCAGAACAGTGATTGCCTTCCAGGAGGCCCAGGCCCACAGGCCTCTGCTTGGAGCTGTCGGTAAAAATAATAATCATAAAAGTGGCCAATAAAAGGAGGGGGGGGCACTGAGCATTAGGTTATGAGCCCAGAAAACCATCTGACCCGAGGTGATGTTTGGGCGGTGGCTGCCCCGCCCTCTAAACACCCACACCCACACACTCACACACACTGCCTTCCACAATGACACACAGGCTCACACAAACTCCCACCACACACATGCACAAGACCCCATGTTCCACAGGCTCACAGCTGTTTTCACATAAGGAGGTCCACAGAAAAAGTGCATAGGTAACTATTTTCGAAATGCCCCCTCTCAAGGAAGCACATGTAATGACACAGACACACACAACTAACACAACAGCACAGAGATACGTAAAGCTCCCCCTCAAATGACTCAGTCCTATAGAAAGACTCCAGGACAATGCCATATTCAGCCACACAGAAGACAGACCTCTCCAGCTGGGCAGCCTGGACCCTCTGGTTTTGTTAGAAGATGGAGTTCGGGAGCATGGGCAAGAATGCTATAGGACTGGCCCTTGTCTTTAAGACTTAGCCTCCTGGGTCCTGGGCGCTCATCAAGACTCACCCACGGGGACCAGGAACCAGGATGCGGGGCTCCTGTGGGAGCCGTTGCTAGTGAGCAGAGCAGGCTGAGAAATCTGGGAGGAACCCCAAACGTTGAGCCTGATGTCTGCTAGCATGGGGGTGGCCTGGGCTGGGGGGTAGCCGAGGATCCTGGAGATGAGGCAGGATCACCTGAGGGTGCCTCGGAGGGAATGTATTCTACGTGGAGGTGGAAAGACTCAGGCACTAAAAGAATGACTCCGAAGCAGGGAGGACACAGGTGGAGGAGGGTGGAGGGAACCGAAGGGAGGGAAGTGAGAGAGTGGGGATCCCTTGCACCTCCCTTTGAGGCGCTGCTCGAGGGGTTTGGATCTCAGAGTCCCCCACTTTCTAAAGAAGTCATTTTCTTCCTAACTTGCAAGTGTGGCAGCCAGCGCTGCGCCCAGAGCAAACAGGCGGTGGGAAGAGCCTGAAACACCGGGAAGCGAAGGGAGCGCCTGGGGAGGCTGAAGGAGCGGCGCTAGCGGCAAGTCCCTCCGGGTGCGGAGTCTGGGGCCTTGAGGCGGCAGGACTCCTCCGGCCCCAGGGAGAGCCACAGAGCAAAGATAGGAGAAGGGCCGCGCCTGGCGGGTGCTGTCCCGGCCGCAGAACGCAGTGCCTGGGAGGGGAAGGCCCGGAACCGAGAGGCCGGGCGGCCGCGTCCGACTGCGAACTCCACACTTCACCGGGGCGCCCTCCGCAGACTGAGCCCGCAGCCGCTCCAGCACGCCGGGGAGCAGCCTCCACGTGTACTCGGGAACTGCTGGGAATCCCTTAAACGCTCTACCTGAAGGCGCGGGAGAGTAGGGAAAGGGAAGGAGCATTTCCAGCAGGGGCTGTGCGCATTTCCAGCAGGGGCTGTGTGCATTTCCAGCAGGGGCTGTGTGACTTCGGGCAAGTCCTCACCCTCTCACAGCCTAATTATTTGTTTCAAAAAAAAAAAAAAAAATGGAGCCGGGCACATCTCTGCCCGGCTCCATCCCACCCACCCATCTTCCTCCCTCAAAGCCAGGGGACAGTGTGTACTGGCCTTGAGGCTATGATGAATGTGGGCCAGGATTTGGGAATAGAACAGTGAGGTTTGGAAAGGAGAACATCAGCATCTTTCCGTCCTCCCTCCCATCTTGCTTAATGCCAGTGAATCTGGGCTGTTTGCCCCCAGGCTCTCTTCTGGGGCCTCAGTGGGAATGGGGAGAAAAGACTGAGACATCAGAAATGATGTGAGCCTTCGCTCCGTGACAGAAGGACCAATTCCCCCCCGGTTTTCAACTAAGTGTGCTTTTCGACGCTGAAAAAGTGCCCTTTGCACTCCCCCAATCCAACAGACCTCTCCCCGGTTCCCCTTCCTGCCTTGATAGAGGAACCCTGCCTTCTGATAGGTTCGAATCCCACCAGAGTGGGGCGGTGGCCAGAGCGCCAGAAACCTCTTCTGTAAGGTTGAGGAGAATTGAGCTCTCTTCTCATAGAGCGATTCAGAGCTAAATGTGTGAGCAAAACCAGGTTACAATGGCTCTTTCCTGGCCTGCCATAAATGTTGGCTATTATTGCACCTCAAATGCTAACAGATTTGTGAGCCTAAAATACTCACATTGCTCTCTTGGTGGTTGTGTAGACATAAGTAGGACTCTTCTAAAATATTAATGCAAAATGCTGGGGAGGGAAGGAAACAGGAGGCGTTGGGTTAGAAGCGGGAGCCTCTGTAGGCTGCCTGGGCTCTCAGAAGAGAAAGGAATGGGTGGAGGCACTACAGAGCCAGCCAGCAGCTTTGAGGGACATTAGATGTCCTGTTGGAAACAGGGGGAGAGAAGTTAAATTTTGTCTTTCCTGAGCAGTCAGGAGAAAGATGGGGTTGGCAGCAGAATGGAACAAAGCTGAGAGAGGACCCAGAGGAGGAGTAGCTCCCGTCCCACCGCCAAAGACCTCTGTCGGCACCTGAGGCCTGGACGCCTTCTCTCTGTCACCCTTTCTCTCCTTGCTGCCTGCATCGCTGCCAAACCCTGCAGGCGCAGTGCCTCCGAACCGGACACAAGAAAATCAGCCTGTATTATCCACTGTCCACCCCAAAATGAAAAGATCCACTTCCCCCTCCCCTCTGATAAACATTCAAGAAGAAAGCAATGCAATCAGAAATATTATTTTAATGGTATTTCTATTACATCCACAATTGAAATTTTTTTCTAAGAAGAAAAGGAGAATAATGTATTCTTTTCACTCCATTAGCCCTTGCAGACATTAATGCCACAATTTCTAATGCTCAGACTTTTCTCCTTCCATTTAGAAGAAATGGCCCCAGGCAAAGAAAAAAGTTGCCTGGACTGATGTGGGGAGCCTCCTATGCAGATAGGTGTAGTTAACAGGTGTGAAGAGATTAAGTGACACCTAAAGTCCCAGGTTCCTGGCTGAGATGTTTGGGCCACGGGTTTCGATTAAGATACACCATAGGCTCTACACGATCGGCCCTGGGGTCAGCATTCTGAATTCAAAGATGGGGCTTTTGCTCAGGACCTGAACCCACCTGGTACTAAATCTCAATTTTCTCCCCTGTTTAAAAAAGGGGGCAGTTTTAAAAATCCCTGCTCCGTTGAACCCACTAAGGAGGCTCCAGAAAGTCAAGAACGATTGGCAGAAACGCTTTTCAGGCCTCAGACTGCGCAGCCAATTGCACGAATGTCCTCGGGGTACCCCATTGTTGAGAGCATTCGGTGGGACTTCCAGGTCGCCATGGTGACCAGGAAATTCAAGGTCCCTGCGGAAACAATCGTCAGGAACTTTTCCACTGGAAACTTCAGTCAGTTGCTCACCACAGAGACCCTCTGTCAGTTGTTTCACCCCAGTATGTTTTGGGTGTGATTTGGGAGAGGGAGCAAGGTGTCTGGGGTCCCTGCTTCCGGACCCTTCTGTTAGGATGTCACCAAAGGCCAGAAACCCAGCACCAGGGAGCCACAGGAGACTGGCTGGAGAGGAAGAAAAATTAGAGGTCTCGACCAAGCAATTGTTTCAGTGACAGATCCTTCCAGATTGGGGTTTGGCCTCCCTCATCACCCACACCCCCACCTACCTCCCTTCACCTCCTCAAGATCATTACTAGAGTTTTCACTCACAGTTCCAGGTGGGGTGGCGGCCTCCACTCCCACCCATGTATAGCAGAGCTCTGTAGCTGAGTCCTGTAGTGTCCTCTCTCAAGAAAGTCTCTCCCCAAAAGAGAGGCCTCAAGGATGTAGAGATTAGCTGTCCTGATTAAACTGGTGATTTCAGAGTCTCTTGACAACAGCATTTCAGGTTCTCTTGACCCAGCTAGGCCCAAGTCCGAAAGCCTGATCAGACCTTAGGAATTTTGTAAAACAATGGCCTGGATGATTTAATGGCCTGGATGATTTTGGCCATTGCTTGAATATTGCCTGAATTGTTGTTTTGATTTGGAGGACATCAAGATGAGTTTTCATAAAGAGGGTCATTATGATTACAATTGTTATCTCCTTTGTTTTCTTTGCCGCTACAAATTCTGGATTTCTGCAGCACAGACTTGGAGACAGACCCATGCCCCTTCTCCTTAAATAAAGCGCTTTATGAAACATCAGATCGAATTCTCTCCAGTGGGGATGCCTTGCTCTGTGAGGCCTGGCTGGTTGGAAAGAGGCCCGCGGGCAGCCAGAACTGGAGTCGAAGTTTCATCTCTGGTTTTGACTCTGGCCCTTTGAGCGAGCTTAACACGTGTGGATTTAATTTCCCTTTCTTTCTTGCTTCCTTTTCTTTCCCCCCACCCCCACCTTGTGAGGGAACAAGAAAAATAGTCTGCTCTGTCGACAGCGCGACACTGTTCCGTTTGCCAAAGAAAATTTGTCTTTCCAGAGTCCCAGAGAGCAGTGGGTTCCTATGTTTCCAACGAGCCCTTCAATTGAGGGAGGAGGTATCCAGACAGGCCCCCCACCTTCACCCCAGACCTAGACATATTAGTTTGAGTCTCTCTCTTGCAGGGTTACAGACCTGGAATGCCCTATGTTTCTTCCCCCTACCCCAAACATTTTGGGAGACCTATCAGTGGGTTTTGACCTGCAGGATGGTTGAAGTTCTTAGGCTCAGTGTGACCCTGGGGGTACTCCATGGTCTCCCAGATGGGACCCTCACCTTTCTAGGCTGGGCACTTCCCAAATTGGAGGAGATAAGAACAGTGGCATCCTTGTGTCCAAGCACCACTCGCTTCCACCTTTCTGCTCTTTGAAGTGTGTAAATTTTTCGCATTGGGATCCTTCTCAGCTGGGCCTCGAAATGATATCCTCTCTTCCAGTTCTCATTTCATTACCCCGAACAGGAAAAACAAAAAAACAAAAACAAAGAAGAACCCAACCACCACCACCACAACAAAAAACCCTCACCCTCCAAACTTGGAGAGTAAAGAGGACGATTGTCATCTAAAGCACACAAAGCAACACTAACATGAATGAGGAGAGCAGCGATAATAATTCTTGGTGGAAATATTGGAGGAGAGTATTGGACACTCAATAATCATAATAATAACAGCCAGTATTCTTCCCACATACTTCCGGTCAAAAGTGGGGAAACCAGAAACCGAATAAAACATTGGGAAGAGACATACTGTGTTCCTGGAAAAAATATAACAGAGCCAGATTTAACTCGGTGAGAGGGAAAGTGACCCCCTTGAGAAACCAGGGAATGTCTCACCCTCAGACCAACCCTTTCTTTTGCAAATTGAATTGGTCAAAGTTTAGTTTTGTCATCATTTCTATTGTTATAATTCTTATTCATTTTCCCAGCCCCGTCCACACTTCTATTTTTCACTACCCCCACGCCCCACAAGTTGCCACCGGGTCAGGTGGGGACATATCCGGAGAGAAATAGAAAGGGATGCATTTTAAAGCGAGTTCTCTTTTGAGAGGAAAACAATGGGTAGTTTTGGAAGTGTCTTTCTTAAAAACGGAAGGAGAAGGTGAAGAAAAAAATTATCAACAGCAATGGGCCCCTTTGGTTTGGGTTTTGACTTTTTAAAGAGGAACCTCTGCTGTCCTGTTGCAGTATTAAAATCAGGGCAGGAATTTTGCAAAATGAGAAAAATAAACTTCGGGAGAAAACCCAGCTGGGAGCAGCTTCGGGAAAGCGACAGTTCTCCGAAAGGAGGAAGGGAGGATGCGCGCTGTAGCCGGCTCCGGAGTTTACTGCCCGAACGATTGGGGAAAAGAACGAGGATTCTCAAATCTAGTTGCGATCTCTCGTCTCTCCTTTATTCTGTTCGTGGTGCGGGCTTCGGAGCGTCTGGGAAAGCCAGTCTGTGAAGCTGGACTTGCAGAATCCTTTGAATGCCGGTCCAGGTGGCTGCAGGGCCCGCAGTCCGGGATGCCGGAGAAAGGAACCACAAGGAAAAGACGCTACGCTCGGAGTTTCCCCTTTTCCTTGCAGCCCCGGCGGGGCCTAGGCCTCGGTTTCCGGCCCACCTCGGCTCAGAGGTCAAGTAGGAACTCATCTCGTCGACCTAGGGTTTGGGAGAAGGATTTCGGGTTGCGTTCTTGGCATCTGGGAGCAAACACGAGCCTCGGATTTGGGGACATATCGTTATTAACAGCTTGGGAAACGAAAGCGAAGCTCGGGGCAGCCACTGCAGCCTGGCTGAGAGAAAGGACGCGGGTTGTGCTCTCTGGAAGCAAAGGGGTCTGCGGCCCAGCTGGCCTGGGAGCTTGTGGCCGGCGCTGGAAGCTGCCCGCTCTCCCCGCGGGCCTGACCTTGGCTCCCGCCGCAGCTCTGCCGGCCGACTGCCTCCCTGCACATTTTGCTGCCGTTCCAGTCCTTACAGGACCGGGCCTGGAGCCAGGCCATGCTTCGGAAAGCCCTGGGGGTTGGGGACGCGCAAAACCCAGAATCGAACCCCGAAGCTGGGGGCAAGTCCAGATTCAGACGTCCAGCTCCCTCGGGACCCCTTGGCGGAGAACTTACCCTTCCGGAAGGCCCGACGCTCTCCGGCTCTGTGCTGGGCAGGCCTAGCTCTTCTCTCGGCGCCACCAGGGGCGTCTACGCGGTACGTTTTGCAACTCAACCTAGTGGGTTTCCAGCGGTGCGCAAAAGTTTGCGAGCATCCACCACTGCGCTGCTTAGAAATTGTGCCCATTGATCAGACTAAAAATAATAGTCGTCGTGATTACAAAACAAAATAGAGTGCCTCGTGCCTCGGCGGGCCCTGGTACAATAATTATTCTCTACAGAAACCACCTCTCTCCACTCCCACCCCTACTCCACCACCCACTCGCACCCCGCCCCTGCCGGGCCACTCTGGGACGAATTGCATTCTTGGACCTTTCTCTCCGCAAGGCACATTACGGAGAACTCCCTCTGTCTCGTGTCCCCTCCACGACAACCCAGTAATTATTTCTATGCAAGTCTGCAAGAGGGCACTGAGTTATCGCATCCCAAGCCTAACCAGCTAGAGCGGCGCCTCGGTATTCATTTGCCCAGAGCTCCTCCGCGGGGGATTTAAAAATAATAATAATAATAATAAGGATCCCATGCCTTATGCAAGAGACCTCAGTCCCCCGGAACAACTCGATTTCCTTCCAATAGAGGTCTGAGGTGGACTCCCACCTCCCTTCGTGAAGAGTTCCCTCCTCTCCCCCTTCCTAAGAAAGTCGATCTTGGCTCTATTTGTGTCTTATGTTCATCACCCTCATTCCTCCGGAGAAAGCCGGGTTGGTTTATGTCTTTATTTATTCCCGGGGCCAAGACGTCCGGAACCTGTGGCTGCGCAGACCCGGCACTGATAGGCGAAGACGGAGAGAAATTTACCTCCCGCCGCTGCCCCCCAGCCAAACGTGACAGCGCGCGGGCCGGTTGCGTGACTCGTGACGTCTCCAAGTCCTATAGGTGCAGCGGCTGGTGAGATAGTCGCTATCGCCTGGTTGCCTCTTTATTTTACTGGGGTATGCCTGGTAATAAACAGTAATATTTAATTTGTCGGAGACCACAAACCAACCTTGAGCTGGGAGGTACGTGCTCTTCTTGACAGACGTTGGAAGAAGACCTGGCCTAAAGAGGTCTCTTTTGGTGGTCCTTTTCAAAGTCTTCACCTGAGCCCTGCTCTCCAGCGAGGCGCACTCCTGGCTTTTGCGCTCCAAAGAAGAGGTGGGATAGTTGGAGGTGAGTTTCACCCTGGAGGACTGAGGGGGGAAATAGGTTTCTCTTTGCACTTGGCCCTCCTTGGCTTTTCACCCCGTCTTAGTCTTGCTGAATCTTCTCTTGCTGTGCTGCTACTTCTCATGAACGAAATAAGAATGGCTTCGTGTGTCACCTGGCAAGAATGGATTCTCTCGAAAGGTTTGAAAATCCCTATTTTGCTTGGTGGCCCAGACCATCTGTGCTCAATGAGCTAAGCAAATCTGGCTGGGCTATTACCTGGGAGAGTCCAGATTTTTCCTCTCTGGAGGGGCCTGAAGATTATTTATGGGAATTAATTTTATCCCCAAATCTCTGAGAACTTAAAGGGATTGGGAAGGTCTTTCTGGATTTCCCTTTCCCTCTACTGGAGATGTAGCGGTTCAGCCTTCTTCCGATGCCATGTTTGTTTTTCGTGTCTTCGGCCTAGGGTCGCCTTGCCAGCAAGCCTAAAGGCCTCCAAGCTGACTTGGAGGGTGAGGGTGTTTTCACAAATAAATACATCGCCTGGGCAAAGGGAAAATATCTGTTTGCAAACAAACCTGGAAGGTGGAGTGAGCACCATAGCAAAGGAGGGCTGGCTTTCTCCCCGGTTGCCCCACATTCAGGGTTGGAGATTCTCCACTTTGGCATTTTGCAGCAATGGCCTGGCCTGGGATTTTAGCAGAGCAGTCACAGAGGGTTACACAGCTGCTGACCTCGGGGCATTTCTCCTCCCTCCATCCCTTTCTCCAGACCTTGACTTGCAGGCCCAAGTCTCTTATCAGAACCCTAGAAAAATCAGTATGATGGGGGTACAGGAGGTAAGGATGGGAAACAGAACAGGACTCCTGACATTTACTCCAAGCACCAATATTCGGTGTCCCAATCTGGGTCTGCTCAGACTGAGACCTACTGACTGTGTTTGTGCTTTTATTGACCTCTTCAACTCACCCTAAAAAAAAAAAATACATCTCAGAGAGGGAAAGGGCAAGGAGAGGAGACCAGTGGAGATGAAAACCCTAGCCAGTCCCCAGTGACTGTTTGATTATTTTAATAAAACTGGGCACTGCCTTGTGTACACCTGGAGCAGGGGACGTCTGGTGGCCCCACTGGGTGGGGGGTGAGGGCCCGCAGCGATTTCTTAGCATCTTTGATCTCGGCCCCCATCCCAATGCACCTTCACCCTGCCTTCACCCCAGAGTCGTTGAGAGTAGGGGTGATGAGTAGGGGGTGGAGGGGAGATGTCAGGAAGGCGAGCGCCGGCCAGGCGGGGTCAGGCAGCTCTCCTTCTCGAGGTCAGCGTTGGAGAGAATGTCTGCAAGGCTGCGGAGGCCCGCGGTGTGTTTGTGTGTGTGCGTCCAGACTCGGTTCTCTGCACCGCCAGCGTCACTGAGATTACTTCCCGATTAGAAGCCGACCGCGTTTGAAATGATTTGTGCAGGAGTTTTTGCAGCCACCGCTTGCTCAGAGAAGCAGAGATGGATGGAGGTTGGGAAAGGGGTAGAGAGGAGGGAGTTATTGCAGGTCTGTGTTGAGAGTCGTATTGTGATTTGAGTGTTCGGGAAATCTAGTGGAAATTTGGGGTGGGGGGAAGGGAGGACGGGAGGGTGGGAGGGAGAGAGAAGGGGGAGGGCGACAGAGTGCAGTGGGAGCTAGTTGGATAGGCGATTTCAGTACTTTGTGAGCATCGAGGCAACCCAACGTCACTGTGCTCAGCTGAGTTGGCTTGTATTTCAGAGAGAGAGAGAGAGGGAGAGAGAGTGAGAGAGACTGACTCTTACCTCGAATCCGGGAACTTTAATCCTGAAAGCTGCGCTCAGAAAGGACTTCGACCATTCACTGGGCTTCCAACTTTCCCTCCCTGGGGGTGTAAAGGAGGAGCGGGGCACTGAGATTATATGGTTGCCGGTGCTCTTGGAGGCTATTTTGTGTTCTTTGGCGCTTGCCAACTGGGAAGTATTTAGGGAGAGCAAGCGCACAGCAGAGGAGGTGTGTGTTGGAGGTGGGCAGTCGCCGCGGAGGCTCCAGCGGTAGGTGCGCCCTAGTAGGCAGCAGTAGCCGCTATTCTGGGTAAGCAGTAAACCCCGCATAAACCCCGGAGCCACCATGCCTGCTCCCCCGCCTCACCGCCGGCTTCCCTGCTAGGAGCAGCAGAGGATGTGGTGAATGCACCGGCTTCACCGAACGAGGTAACCGTCCCGGCAGATGGCCCGGGAGGCTCAGGAGGGAGCTCGTCGGCCGAGTCGGCTGGGGCGGCGGGAATGGCGGATTCCAGCCCGGCTTTGCATTCTGCAGAGCACAGCTTGCAGAGATTTTGCGCGGCTCGGAGCTCCCCGGCAAATGGAGTCTGGGAGGCCGCCGCGGCTGGCGGAGCGGCATTGAGGTTTGCAGAAGCACGGCCTGGTTCTGTCAAACCGCATCTTGTTCGCCTCCGCCAGCCCAGAGCTCCCCGGGACCCTGGCGAGGGCGCGGGGTAGGATTCTCCCCGCGGCCGGCAGTGAATGGGAGCGCGTGTAGGGGCGCCAGCCCTGCTTTCTTTTGTTGTGAGTAGGCAGCGGGGCTCCAGTCGCCGCCTCCCTGAAGCCCCGAGAACGAGGCGAAGAAAGCTGCTTGCAAGTCAGGCCTCAGAAGCTGTCCTTCTCCTCGGCCCCATTTCTAGATCTCTGGCCACAGCAGGTCAGGGTGGGATCTGGCCGCTTGCTTAAGCAGCTGCTGAGGTTTTGGGGGACCATCGCTTGTGCCCGCTTCCCAAAGTCTTCCCGTTCTAGGGGGAATTCCTACTTGCGTATAGAAGAGATTGGAAGGAGATCAGAGAGCAGGAGACAGGCTCATCGGGCTTGAACAGCTCTGCGGCAGTTATTTTGTGTGTTCTAAGCTCATACGCCTGCAAACCCGGGCCGTTCTATGCATTGCGGGGACCCGGGCTGCAGATTCAATGTCTCCAGCCTAGGACTTATCCGAGAATGATTTTGTCCTCGCCAATCCTGAGCCTGAGCCTGCAGTTTTAGCAGGCCAGGCCTGGCTGAAGTTCAGAGAAACCCCTTTCGGCCTGGTCACTCCACAAAATGCCCGCCATCCCCCGCCCGGCATCAGAGCGCTGGTGGCGGGCACCCAGTGACGAGCCTTCCTCGGAACGGCTGCACGGTGACTTTCTTCATCTAGTCTTCTGTTTGGCTACTTTTTATCTTTTAACGAATCTTACTTAAGGTTGGGATAAAGAAAAGGATGTTTAATTTTAAAGGACTTTTAATGTTAAGGCCTGTAACTGGTAAAAGGTGTATATGAATTCTCTTTTGAACCTAGTCTCAATCTGCACAACCTTCCCCTTCTGTGTTTTTCTTTTTGCAAGAGGCGGGTTATTTCACACATTTCTGCCTGCTGCAGAAAACTATTCCTCTTGTGAGGTTTAATAAAAAGAGTTTCGACGGCATCTTGTAATTTGGCGAAGAAAGAAATTCTCTAAAGGACACTGGGTTTTTGTTTTGTTTTGTTTTTGGTTCCTACCCAGTGGCTTCCAAAAATACCCACGCCTTATCTTTATTGGCTCTTCCAGAAGTCCAGACAAATTTGACGGGCAGCTTGCTTATCACGGAGAGCCTGCGCAGGGGAGATGCGGGCCTCACCTTCTCCGGGTCTGACGCGGGTCTTTTGCAAGAAGTTGTGCCTGCTTATAAAGTAATAGTAATACTACTAGGAATACTAGTAACAGTAATAATTCTAGGGCCTTCTGCAGTCACCTTCGGCTGGGAACGGAGGTGCTGGTAGCTGGAAACTGGGGGCCAAACTGCTCCCTCCTGTCACTAGAATTGTGCTCTCCAACCTTTCTCTCGTTCTCTCTCTGTCCTCCCCACCCCCATCTCCCCCTGCTTCTTGTCCTCAGAGCAGAACCTTGCGCGGGCACAGGGCCCTGGGCGCACCATGGCCGACGCAGACGAGGGCTTTGGCCTGGCGCACACGCCTCTGGAGCCTGACGCAAAAGACCTGCCCTGCGATTCGAAACCCGAGAGCGCGCTCGGGGCCCCCAGCAAGTCCCCGTCGTCCCCGCAGGCCGCCTTCACCCAGCAGGTAAGGAGACCTCGCGCTTCGGGTCCCTTTGCAGAGATCAAAGTCAGAGTCTGGCTTTCCTGCTCGGCTTCTCTTGCGGGGACAGAACAAAAACAAAATAAAAAAACCCCAAAACGAACCCAACGACTATAATCATCCCTTTTCCTTTTTATTCCCACTCAGTTCCACCTTTCTCTGCCCTGTCTCCCCAAATGCTAGCGTATTGCCATCTACTTTATTGTGACGGTTATCTTTACGGCCAAAGGATTTTTGAAATCTATTTAAATTGTTCGAGAAATCTCAATTATCCGGCCGTTTGGGGTCAGCTAACAATGGCCTAGATAATTCCTTTCCCTCTGCACTATGTGTAGAATCGGCCCCCAGCATCTTAATAAGGGCCAGGTCAGCGGCCGATTCAGGCCGGCATGAGCGATGGCTTGACCCCTCTTCTGATCTTCCGTAGCCTTCGCCTCCTCCCGCCTCCTCCTGCCTCCTCCTGCCTCCTCCGCGCCGCCGACTAGACCCGCGCGCCGCACCATTTGTCTTGCGGTCGGGGCCTGGCTGGCTGGCGCGCCATCACCGGCCGCTGGGAGCGCACAGAGCTCTGCCCGGAGGGCACCAGGAGCCTCGGGTTCGCCAGGCTACAACCTGGGCCCAGGCAGAGGGAGGAGCCTCACCTTGCGCTCTGCGCCCAAAACCCAGGACGCACTGGGCGCTCAAGTCGGCCCCTCAGTAGATCCTGGTAATTTTTAAATAAGGTGTCACATGGGGTGAAACGGGGTGACGACCAGAAGAGACACTTACACATGGCTAAAATCCTGCCTTGGGATTTCGATCCCTTCCTGGCTTTTCCCGGCTTCTCTCTTTGGCCTTTAAGTTTCAGGAAAACGTGTGTATATTTGTAGAGAAGCAGAGAGCGTGAACACAGTTTAGGAAACTTAGGGATTTTTTTTTTTCTTTTAAGGAAAAGCAAACCCACTTTTTAGACTGTTGTAAATTATTCCAAAATGAAGAGTTTGTGTGTGCATGTATGTGTGTGTGCACATATGTATATATATGTATATATATACATTTGCATCGGTTCTGTAAATTTAGTTTTAGCTGAAAGCCAAAATGTTAAATGGCATCAGGCGTGTCCTATAATCAAAATAGCTGGATGTGAATGGAACTACTTGTAGAGAGAGCCTGGAAGGTTTGTTAATATAGATATTTAGGATTAATTATCCTTCTGGACTGTAAGAATATATGATAATACAAACATTTTTAGGTTTCAAAATTCATGTATGTTCAGGTTTGCACTCACCATGGTCGAGAATAAGCAAGTATTTGCACATCTGTATGTTTGATGTGTGGGCATCTGAGTGTCTACATGAGAATATTCTGAGTGGTTTTCTAGATTAGGTTCCTAGTTTTTCTAAATTAGGTTTTTTATCTATCCCCCCCACCCATCTCAGGTGAAGTGGATTGAAATTGGCTCTGGTTTTTTTTTTTTGGTTTGTTTGTTTGGTTGGTTTTTTCTTATTCCGGTCCTCCTCAGTGACATTCCGGAGCACCCTGATGGTGGGTGATCACTCCATAGCCTTGTGCTGATGGCATTAGAAGCAGACAATACAGCACTGTGGGTTCAAGTGGTTGTTGCAACCCTCAGGGATTCAGCCTACATAGGGATCCCTGGGCAGAGGCTGTTGGGTGCTCCAGATAATTCTGCAGTGGGCTGAAGCCACTTTTTACTCTCTGAGACCACAGGCTCCAGCGGGAAGGAGGAGCAGTCTCTGTGTTTTGGGGGAGTTTGGGGAAGGAATGCCCACTACTGCCAGGGCTTGTTAGTGTGACTTTTTTCTCCTTCTTGCAGGGCATGGAGGGAATCAAAGTGTTTCTCCATGAAAGAGAACTGTGGCTAAAATTCCACGAAGTGGGCACGGAAATGATCATAACCAAGGCTGGAAGGTGAGATGGTTTGTTGTGTAGAGAGAGGGACGAGGAGAAATTGTGGGAGAGGTGAAGAAGAAAAGGTGGCTTGGAAGAGAAGAAGGAAGGAAAGGGGCAAAAGGAGAGGGAATATAGAGAAAGAAGAGAAAGGAGAGGAGAGGAGAGAGAGAGCGAAAGATAGATCCTGGTTAAAGAGGCACAAGGAGATTCCTCCATTGATCTCTCCTAGGATGGAGGAAATACTCCAGAAGTTCAAGCCCGGAAACTGGGCATTTCTCCCACCTCACATATAGAAAGAATAAAGAGCTTGGGAGGCCGTGCTATCTGGATTCGTAATGAGGGAAAGAGAGAAGAGGGAAAGGAGAAAACAGAAAACAGAGACCCAGAGAAGACAGAGTCTAGAAGGTTTTTGGGTTTCAGGGATCTTGGACTTTATCTTTACTCCAATCCTCATTCCCACCCTCCCTGACCTTGGAGTGGCTCCAGGGTCCCACCCGATTGTCAAACTCTGAATCGTTGGATGTATTCGCTACCTCTTTCATTGTTTATAGAAAGCAGGCGAAGCCTTTAAAACTGAACCGGGGCTCGGCCGGGCTCTATATACAGACACCAATAAACACGGCAGCTTCGCCAAGACACTCGCCCCGGAGTTCCCCTTAAAAGCTCGCAGAGTTTTAGCTAGAAATGCTAGACTTCTGGGGGAGGAGGAAGGAGAGTGGTGCAGCTCTGTATGTCAGTGTGAGTGTGTGAGCATGTGCACGCGCGCGCCCAGGCCTGGGGACGTCCTGGCCACATCCCTACCCGTGCTGGACGGGTCTTCCGCGTCCCGCAAAGCAAAAAGCCAGAGGATGCCCCGAGCAGGCGTGTGGAGCAGGCGAACGGTAGGCCCAAGCCACCGAGTGTGTGAAGGGGGAGGGTGGAGCCGCCTTTCCAGACGCCCCCCGCCCCCGTTCTCCAGCCGAAGCCTCCCTCAATAAACTGACAACAGTGACATTTATTATTATTTAAAATTAAACAAAGTCTGCTCCCCGCTCGGCCCAAGGCCTGAGTGAACTAGGAGGCGCGTTCTGTTTATATCAACGAACTGCAGTCCTCTTCCTATTCCCCCAGGAAGGAAAGACACGTCCGAGTCCCTCTTTCCCCCCGAGCCTGAGCCGTGAGGATTTAACTATAAAAGGCCTGCGAAGTCTTCTGCGCCTCCGCCTCCGGGCGCGCTCGCTCAGGCTGATAAACACTGCGAGGCTTTGGCTCCGGGGCTCGGAGGGAGAGGCCTCCATTCGACCGTTCCCGCCATCGCTGAGTGAGCCGAGATCTGCCAACTTGTCTTTTCGCCCCGGGCCAGCCTTGAGAATCTTTGCTTTCTGGGGCATGTTCCTCAGAAGGTGGAGGGAAATTTGGAGTGCGCCAGGGCGCAGAAAGGCAGCAGAGACGGCACAGTTCCGGGCCATCGGCTTGATAACGACTGAATCTTAGTTCAGGCCTCAGCTTTTTCTGAAACCAGATCTGGAAGGGTCTGGAATTTCTTTGCTGAAGGCCAAGGAATTTCGACTCTCCGAGGAAGAGTTTCAGGGGCCTTGGAGAAGTTGTGGGGGCATTCAGGAATAAACTCCTGCTAGAGACCCATGTCAGAGGTCATTAACCGAGTTATACTGGGAACCGCGGCCTTCCCCTTCCTCCAGCGGCAGAGGACCAAAGCAAGGTCGGGAAGCCTGGGCGCACCCACGCGTGTGCATCTCTGGGGCGCACACACCTTGTGTACACGTGACACCTTAGCAACGCGAGGATCGGCGGAAGCACCTGGCTAGACAGATCCTCTAGGATCAGCGCCTAGCATTGTACCTAATAAGCCTCCTCTCCCCACAAATATTAATAATAGGTGTCTGGCTCCGAAAAGGGCGGTTAGCAAGAGTTGAAATGGAGGTCCCTTTGAAGCATCTTCAAAACCCGTTCTCTAGAGGCGCATGCGTCCTGGTTTGTTTTCCGCTTAGGTTACCTACAGTTGCCCGCCTGCTGTTACCTCCTCCCTTCGCCTTTCTCCTCCCTATAACTTCAAGGGAAACCCGGGATGGATCTTGCGGAGAGCGGAACGGGGCTAGTTTCCGCTTCCACGTTTCTCCAGGAATTGCTTTTTCCCTTAAAATGGATGGAGGCTGCCTTAAAATACTGGCATTAATTCCCGCCCCCCTCTCTCCCTCCGTCCCTCTCTCTTAGGCGGATGTTTCCCAGTTACAAAGTGAAGGTGACGGGCCTTAATCCCAAAACGAAGTACATTCTTCTCATGGACATTGTACCTGCCGACGATCACAGATACAAATTCGCAGATAATAAATGGTAGGCACTGGGGTGGCAGGTGGAGCGGGGAGAGAGAAAAGTGGAACCTTCTCCCAAAAAGTTGAAAAGTTGTATCAGTGAACTTTTTTTTTTTTTTTAGTTCCTACTGTGTGCTAAAGGCGTCTGTCCGCCTATCCCATTGCTTTTTACTAACCATTCTCAGACAAAGAAACTACAACAATTAGCTCCGGTTTTCCAGATGAGAAAGCGGAGGCTCAGAGGAAGTGAGGTGCCTGTGTCTATTGCTGCACCCACAGGTTGTGGATTTTTACAAAGGGTATTGTTACCAAGTGCTGGAGGTATTTCTGGGGGCATAAAACCATTTACAGTTATTTTTTATGAGTTACCTGCTTTGAACATGCATTTTTATGAAATTGCAAAATCGACTCGTGGTATTCGAGTTAAACAGTTAGGAGAGGCCCATTTCTTGGGTAGAATCGTTCCCATGGCTGCCAGCAGTGCAGGGGCCTGACGATGAAACCCCCGTTGAAAGCCCTCAAGGAATTTTCAAGGCTTTTTGCACGTCCAGACCTCCAGAACCCGCCACTTTTTTGTGGGATGCGAGAGGCTGTAAGAAGAAAGGGCTGGGCCAGGGGCTTGCCTGGGCGCAGGCACAAAGTATTCTGGGGCAGCTGGGATTGCAGATACCTAAGGGAGACGGGAGAGCCTCCAGATTATTCCCAGCTACTACTCAACAACCCTCACCTGGTGCGTGAACTGAAGCACGCTTCGGTGCAGTGCGCTACCTCCAGACTCTGAGCCAGGCCTCTAGTACACCTCTCCTTCATCTAGGTCTGTGACGGGCAAAGCTGAGCCCGCCATGCCTGGCCGCCTGTACGTGCACCCAGACTCCCCCGCCACCGGGGCGCATTGGATGAGGCAGCTCGTCTCCTTCCAGAAACTCAAGCTCACCAACAACCACCTGGACCCATTTGGGCATGTGAGTACCGTGGCCTGGATTCCCCGCCTTGTCTCCCTCTTGTCCTCTCTCCCTTCTTCTCACTGGGTTTCTCTCCCTTCTTGGCTCTGTGTGCCTACATTTCTCCTTTTCTTTCCTCCATTTTCCCCCACTTTCGTCGCTTTCTGCCTCTACCTTCTTGATCTGGACTTCCTTCCTCTTCCTTTTCCTCCCCTCCGTCTCAATTCTCTCATTCCTTTCTCTTCTTTCACCTTCTCACTTGCTTTCCCTTTGCTTTCTTTTTCTTCCTACTATTTCATCCTCTGTCTCCACTACTCTCCTACACAGACATCTGCCCCTCTGCAGTCCTCCCGGTGATCCACACTCCCCAGATCTGGGTCTGTCGTTCCTTGGTGGCTGGAGATATGGCCCCCGGCTCACCTGGTCTGGGGCTGCATCCTTGCCGTTAGGGCCCAAACCCTCTCCCTTTGCCTAGGGATGGAGGAATGATTGAAGCTGCTCATTCCAGGCCTGGAGAGTCTGTGAATTCGATCTGTGGTTAGGAGTGGAGGGCTGTGTTTCAGTCTTGCAGAAAATATGGACCTCCTAGCCCAGTGGATACCCAGTATAGACTGCACAGAGGCTGGACCACAATGAAAGCCATATACCTTCCCTCCCCACTTCTCAATCCTGCCTTAATTTTGGGATGTTCCAGGGGAGAGGGAGAGCCCAGCTCACCTGCCCCCTCTTTTCCAGATGGGAAATGAACTCATAAGAGAACTATGGTGCCAGTGCCACTTTTTAGCTTGATACTCCCGGGGAGATCTGTTTTTTTTCCAACAACCAGCTTTCTCCCTTTCCACACTGTGCCCAGAGCAGGCGAATGTAAACCAGGGTCCTAAACTTGGAGTCTGGATTGGACCCAAGAGAGGGGACTGGTGAATTTCCTGAAACTGAATGCAGGGTATTGAATGTGCAGCCTGCTCACCACCCAAAAGAATGTGTAGGTTTTAGTGGATTCTTAGTAGGGTCATCACCCCTCTTCCCCAAAGAAAAACAAAACACAAAACACTGATTTTTGAAAAAATGTCCCCAAATCTCATCGTAGAAGATAATTAATTACTAGAACAGAACACGGATTCTGTATTCACGTTTAGAACTTTTAGCTGGATGATTCTGCCATACAAGTGGGTACATTCGTCTTGGGCATTTGATTCTCACGGCAGCCTAGGGGGCGGACGGGAGGCATAGCTTTTGCACAGGAGAGTCCAGGGGACGGGGGTGACTTGTCAAGGTCCTACAGCTTGTATTTGGGAGCAGAGATTTGCGGCTAGGTCTCTCTAATTACAAAAGGAGTTCCCTGTCCTGGAAGGTTGTAGCTTCAAAGAGGAGCAACAGATAGGCGCATGGTCGCCGATTTCAGGGAAAGGAGGGGACTGGGAGGGAATGAATTTGGTCAAGGGGGCGGGGGAGGATGGTTTATGAAGGTCCAAACGAGAAATCTGCTCCTTTGAGGCCTTGGGGCTGAAGCACTGAAGTCCCCAGGATCTGGGATGGGAAGAGGATCTCAGGGGTCCACACTGATGGGTAAATGCAGCTCTCAGCACGTGGGTGGAGAGGAAAAAGAATCATTCACTCTCTGTGCAGCCTGCTTGGAGCGCTCGGAAGGCATTCCCAGGCAAATGCAGAGCCACTCTGTTAAACCCGGGTGTTTTGCCCACGAGTCCTTCTTGCTGGGCTTCCCAGGAGGTGCTCTGTAAATTCAGCTTGTGTAGGCATTGGCTGACCCGCCCTGGCTGTGTATCTGCCAGTCCCCAGCAGATGCCTTACCAGCACCAGGGAAAACCGGAGCCATTTCTAAAGGTTCCACATGCATCTCTGGGCTGGCTCCTTCTGGAGGATGGGACCCTTGGGTGGGGTCCTGCGTGGTCCTTGACGCTGGGAAGTGGGACGGTTCCCCAGGCTCATTTCAGCTCCTAGCTTTTTCTCTGCTCCTCTGGAGTGCCTTTGGGGTCTCTCTAGGGCGGATGCCTGCGGAAGGTGCACAACCCCACCACCAAATTCCTGGCATCCCTGCCAGCTTCAGGACGTTCCCAGCTGGGGAGAGGGGCTCGGAGCTGCTCAGAACTGCCTAGAAGCCAGGCATTCCCACCCGAGACTCCGGACTTTTAATTCAGAGCCGGCCTAATGAAATTAGGAGCCATTAGATCGCCCTCGCGCTGATGTCTCCACACTGTCCCCAGCCGTCAAAGCAATTTGGCTAAGCCGGGCCGATGGCCCCGCCGGCCGGGGACTGTGGCGGCCAGCGGGGCCCCGCTGCGTCTCTCTGTCGCCACGCCGCCCCGGTCGGCGTCGCTATCGGCCGGGGAGGCGGCCGGGCCACGGCGGCCGGAGATTAGAGACGCGCGGCCCGGGGTCGGGCAGCCGCGGGGCCCGCGAGTTCCTCGTCCCTCCCCCGCCCCCGGCCGCGGCTCGCCTCCCCCAACTACCTCCACTCGATCGGGGCCGGACTCCAGGGTTGGTCCAAGAATCTTGCCCCAGGGTCATCAATGCAAATAATCAAAGTCACAGAGACAACCTCCGCAGTTCCCGGGAAAAAGCAGGCCAGATTTTCAGGCTGTTAAACGCGGCGATTCGCAAGTTCGGTGGGGATGTGTCAGAGCGTTCTGGTAAATACTAGCGTCATCAGAACAACAAACCCAGTTTTATTGGTGAGGATGCTCATCTGTGACTAGCCCTGGCTCCAGCAAGAACGTGCAGCCTGGAAGTCCTCCTCCTCCTCCTCTTCCTAATGATAATGGTGGTTGTAAAAATTACAGCACAACTACAGCAGTTAGGACCCCTCTTGTCCCTGGGAACACCCCTAAATATGGGGAAGATAGGAAGTAGAAAGAGAATATTCCCGAAAAAGCAGATGTAGCCGTTCTGTCTGGGGCCAAGCGTGGAGATAATTCTGGTTGTGGATCCTGAAACGTGATAAAGCTGGAGAAAGGGAGTTTCCAAGGCAACCAGCCCCTTCTTTGAGGGGTGTGGGTGGTGCTTCCTCCCCACACCTTATGAGCCGACATCCTTGGAGGGCAGATCACCCGTGACCCCCAAATATCTTCTCTTTTCACGAACTCTGCTTTGCTTGTTCTCCAAACAAAGGCCCCAGATTTGAGGTCTGATCACCCACCCTAAGCCTCAGAAAAAGGCTGTGCAGAGAACTGGTGATTTTTTTTTTTACTTATTTCAGTTTTCCAAACACTTGATATCTTCTCTTGCATCCCTTAGAGATTTGGGGAGTGGGGGTTATTTCTATGTTTGTTGTTTGTTTGTCCCCGTGCCCCTACACCACCTGTCAATCCAAAAGTGCCCTTGAGGCTTCCCTCCAGACGCGGATTCCTCGATCCAGACTTGCTCAGCTCCCGTTGGGGGTGGGAAGTGCCCTATGCAGGGAGTTAATTTATTAAGCAAACTTTATTAAGAATTCTGATTTACTGCTCTGTGTGCCTTGGGTAGATTCCTGGAATATTACCCTGGCTTTTTCGGTTGGAAATTGTTATTTTTGAAATGTTTCTTTTTAATGAAATCCCTGGCCCCTTTTCAAAACAGAAGAAAAATATCTATTTTTCGAGAGCCGATATAACAAGGCGAATTTAGAGGGCGGGGAGCAGGGTTTTATCTGGAGACAAAGGGAGTTTTGATTTTCTTACAATCTCATTTTCTTTATTATTTTTAGATTATTCTAAATTCCATGCACAAATACCAGCCTAGATTACACATCGTGAAAGCGGATGAAAATAATGGATTTGGCTCAAAAAATACAGCGTTCTGCACTCACGTCTTTCCTGAGACTGCGTTTATAGCAGTGACTTCCTACCAGAACCACAAGGTAAGCCTGAAGCCCAGGAACCAGTGCCTGGGGCCGTCTGCTCTTTCTTTTGCATGAATCTGCAAGGTTTTCCTGCTGGAACTTTGCTCCTCTGAATGGCAGCAGTCACCAACTTCGACCCCAGGGTGCTGGGGTGGGGACAAAGCTGCAGCCTAAGAGTTTCAGCTGTTTTTACTATATCCACGAGCTTGGCTTGACAGTCACCACCACACATATGCACCCACACCAGTTAGAAACAAACTTGTCAAACCATAGATGGGCCACACACTCAAATACCACAAGAAGGCATCCCACTGACCTTATGAAATGCCTAGTGGGAAGAAAGGTTGCTTAATGGCTCTGGTGCTGCCATTTCATTTCTGGGCAACTGTTTCTGCTGGGGTCAGTTTTCTCCTCTCTGCCTTTTTAATATTTTTCACTCCGAGACAGGGTCTCACTCTGTCTGTCACCCAGGCTGGAGTGCAGTGGCACAATCATGGCTCACTGCAGCCTTGACTTCCCAGGCTCAAGAGATCCTCTTGCCTCAGCCTCTGGAGTAGCTGGGACTATAGGCACACACCATCATTATGCTCAGCCAATTTTTAACTTTTGTTTTTTGTAAAGACGGGGTCTCTCTATGTTGCCAGGACTGGTCTTGAACTCCTGGCCTCAAGTGATCCTCCCACATTGGTTTTCCAAAGCGTTGGTATTACAGGCATGAGCCACTGCACCCAATTTTGCCACTCAACTGGCAACAGCACAGGTGGCAAAGTTGCCGGGATCCTTAGGATTGGACTTTCCTGATGCTTCCCTAATTGTTTCAGAAATCACTGACTCCAGACCACATTCTTGGGAAAGGTTTGCCTTGTTAAAATGAAAACAGAGCAACCTGCACCACCAGCAGCTTGGGATAACACTCCCAAGCTGGACTTAGACAAAGAGCCTGCAGAACCACAGCTTGGTGAGGGGAGGCAGACCTGCATTGCTTGGGAGAAGGTGGCTGCAGTTTGGTGTAGGGGCGGTATGCTGTCGCATGGATTGTGTGAAAGTCAGACCCCATGAGGTTCAAAATCCAGGCACTGGTTTTGGCATTTCAAAGCTTGACAATGACTTTGGAGCAGGCTGCCTATAGCGGCAGGTTGGAGGGTGGGGGAGGATCTTCTCTTTTTCCTCAGGAGAAAGTTTGTCTCGACTTGTCAGGATTCACCTCTGTTCCTTAGATACCCGAGTGCATGTGGATTCATTTTATTGTGGGTGGCAGGAGGGATTTAATGTTCTAAGCCTTGGTATGAAAAGTTCTAGAATCTGGAGAGGCGAGCAATAGGTGCTGGGGGAGGGGCCCCTGCCCTCGTGCGGTTGTAGACTGTTAGGAGTATTAAGCAGTGATTTGGGCTTAGAAGGCTCTGGAAGGGCAAAGTGGGAGGGGGGTCCATATGGGATCTGTGAGGGCAGGTCACCTAGATGGATGTGGAGATGGTGTGCCCCTCCCTTTTCTTAGCTACAGTCCCCACCAGCAAGGCTGGGGTGGAGGGGGAACTGCAGGAGCTGGGGACTGGACAGGAGAGGCCGGAGAAGGATGAGAGGAAGGCTTAGCACCCCAAATCCTCCCCTCACCCCTCGAAGGTCATTCCAGTGCAGGCTGGCTTGGCAGAGAATACCCCAACTGAGGCCGGGACTGTTCCAAAATGCTGTGGCTAATCTCCAAATCCAGATTGTCTGTGAACAGGCCAAGCTGTGATAGACAGTCCTTTCCAGGCCACAAAGCCTGTCTGGGAACCCAGGTCGAGAGAGAGCTTCCTGCCCTCGGAAAGAAAACTCATTCCCCTCAAGACACCATTCCTTTTTAAATGGGTAGGAGGATTTTTCCGAGTATCCTTCCACCTGTTGAACCAGCAAGAGCAAAACCGAGGGTCGAATGCCCTGAAAGATGCAAAACTATTTCAGGCCAATTTGAGTCTGTCTCCTTGAAACCTGTTTCCCTCAATGGCTGCTGTAAACCTGTGTTTAGCTTTGCGGTGACGGTCACAGGAAAAAAAAAATAGCAATAAGGAAGCTCAATTCTTCCTATATATGTATATACTTACATGCTCTCAGACCAGACTGGGGTCCAAAAATATATGAGATCTTTTCCCCCTCTACCCCAAGAAAGCCCAGGTTCATACAGGAGGATAGGAAAGGGTAGACATATAAAAGTGACCGGCTTAAAAAACCATCTGAATTCTCAGGTCCTTTGGAAGAAACACCCTAAATTCTGTGTAGTTATGTTCTTAAGACTCATCAGGTGTGGATAGATGTGGGAAAACTCACTCCCTCTCTCCCTCTTTCTGTTGACAGCCTTATTGAGGCATAATTGTCATCTAATAAACTGCCATATTTGAAACAGACAACTAGATAAGCTTCATGTGTATATATATGTATACCTGTGAAACTGTCACTGCAGCCATTTGTGAATATGCCCAACACCCTTTACATTGCTATTTAAAAAATTTCTTCCCCAATACACGTATTTAGTGATTGATGTGCATGAATGCCTGCCTGCCCAATGGGGTGTGTATGTGTGATTTTTTTTTTTTTTTTTTTTTTAGCGCAATCCAGGGAATCGTGTGTCTGAATGCTCACAGGTCTAAGAATGTGTGTCTCCAAATACGCATTTGGATATATGCGTATTTCACGGCCACACTAAGTGTTCACACACAATAATTGCTTTTTTTTCTGTATTGATTGAGTCAGGGAGCCCAGTTGAGCTGTGCATAATGTTCTGTTTAGCCAGCCTGACAGATTCCTTGACATCCGGGAGAGAAATTTCATGGGAGACAACTTTCTGTTACCCTCCCCCACTTCTTCCTTTAGAGCACCAAAGACACCTATTTTCTTTTTCAGGAGCAAATCCAAAACTGTGCACTTTCCCAGTCAAGTGCAGGGCCCCTGCAAACATTTCCCACGTGGATATATGATGTGTGATTTAAATAAGCGGGCCAGGGTTGCATGTGATTTGTGGACTCAGTCTTGCTACTTTATTGTCCCACCTGGACTGGGTGTTGAGACTTCTGACTTCATGCGTAGAAGCCAGCTGAGCTCACCATCGCATAGGGTTAAGGTGGAGGACTGTGGAAGCTGACTGCTTGGGTTCAAACCTATCTGACTTTGGGCAAATGACTTAACTCCATTTCCCCACCTGTAAAATGGGGATAATAAGAGAACTCACCTCATAGTGTTGTTGTGAAGATTCAATGAGATAATTCCCGGCAAGTGTGTCATGTGGGACCTGGCAGAGAGCTAGCACAGAGCATTAGTAATGATTGATGGACCATTGATTGACTACTTAGCAGATCAGTTTATTAACAGGGCGACTCCATCCAAAACACAGACTTCGGAAAACTCTTTGTTTACTCATTCTAACTTCCTGGCTAGTTTAGAATCTGAAAGACTGGGAATTTAAATAAGTTCTTATTCCTGTGGTTGAAAAACAACTGCAAATATTAGTCTTTGTGGTTTAGTTGGCTCATTCCCTGATCATGTTATCAATTCAAGGACTATTTGTCTAGCGTTTTGCCTTGGATAAATGAGCAGGGAAAAGAAAAGCAATGCATGTGATTAAATTGCCAAGACAATTTGGAAAAATAAGGGCCACCGTTTTTATGGTCAAAGGGCCCAGTGCCTTCAGAATGATCTGTCTCTATTTGGATGTAGGTACCAGGTGGAGGTAGGTAGGCTACATGGTTCATTTCTTAGGCTGCAATCACATACCCATATACCACTGGGCCCCTAATGACGAGACACATTTCCTCAGCCCAGCTGTGATCTCGGGCTGGATTTGGGACTTATTTCCCCAGATGGTTGACAGCTTAAAAAAGATATTTAAAAACTCAAATCTTCCCCAGCGACGTTCATTCTGTGAAACACGTTTTTGTAAAGTTTTCACTGCAGTTGTCAGCAGCTCCCAGTGCAATCCCTAGAAATATTTAGGTGTTAAAAAAAGGTCACGTGGGCATTTCATTTCCCTGTTCTTGCAACAATGGCTGTGTATGCAAGCAATGTCTATCCCCAGATATTAACTTAACTTTGCCATTAAAAGGCATTTTCCTCCTGCTTAAATCATTGTGTAAGGAGTCTATATTTATGAGGTATGAGCTTTCTGGTTCAGACCAGGAAATGAACCCTTAATAGAGAGACATAATTAAGATTTTTGGTCCTCGTGAGGGTTTTAAAAAATTTTTTTCAAAAGCAAGAATTCACAACAATTATTCTCATTAATTTTTACAACCTCTGTCTCAGTTGGAGCTGGTATTTATGTTTGTTTTTCCCCCACTCCCAAATCTCTCCCGGATATCCGGTTTTATGTTGATTTTGAAGGGAGTACATTTGCATGGTGAATAGAAGTCAGTTTCAGTGAAGCCTTTTGGTGGAACTGGGAAATCCAGGTGTATCAGTTTGTGTGCCCATGATCTAACACACAGCATATTAGGAAGGGAACTTTATAAACATGGTTACAGTATGTGAGTGGACAGATATTTTGACCTGCAGACAATGTATGTTGTATGTTGACATTTCTCAAGGGTAATTCTTAGGTCATATAGGCATCTATAATCAGTTTCCAAAAGAAGTTACGTGTAAAGATCAACATACCTAAGTGAATATATAAGAAATTGTGCTTATCCTGTGCAATCATATTTTTGCAAGCTATGATGGTAAGTGCAAGATTGGGTAACAGCCAATCTGTTTGAGGTGCAAGGAATGGATTTGAGCAAAAGGTTTTTGCTGATAACATAAAATTCACCCTTTTCTTCTTTCCTTGGGGCAATTTTTTGTTCTGAGTTCTTGGTGGAGCATGGACATCATGGACTGAGCACTAATTCTCATGCTGAGATCCTCACTAAATTCTGGTGTCACAGCCTCACCATCTTCGACATTTACTTCTGAGACTGCGGTGGGGCAGGCTGGGAGGTGGGAGGAAAAGGTGTCCTTCATCCACTTTTTTTTTTTTTTTTTTTTTTTTTTTTTTTTTTTTGAGACGGAGTCTCGCTCTGTCGCCCAGGCTGGAGTGCAGTGGCGGGATCTCGGCTCACTGCAAGCTCCGCCTCCCGGGTTCACGCCATTCTCCTGCCTCAGCCTCCCAAGTAGCTGGGACTACAGGTGCCCGCCACTACGCCCGGCTAATTTTTTGTATTTTTAGTAGAGACGGGGTTTCACCGTTTTAGCCGGGATGGTCTCGATCTCCTGACCTCGTGATCCGCCCGCCTCTGCCTCCCAAAGTGCTGGGATTACAGGCGTGAGCCACCGCGCCCGGCCTTCATCCACTTTTAAATGATCTATTTCTCCTTAACTTTTTGCAAGTCCATTAAGAGATGATTTATGGTCAACTGGGTGAAATTTCATTGTGATAAAAGCTGAGTGAGAAAGAAAAGTCCCATTAGATGTTGGGTTTTTAGACTCTTAAAATACAAGTGAATACAGGAGTACACATCTTAAGATGACTTTCCAAAAGGATTTTATAGATTTTTCTACTCATTCAGAAGAGTCAAGAAAAAATCTGAGGCCAAGCGTGGTGGCTCATGCCTGTAATCCTAGCACTTTGGGAGGCCGAGGTGGGTGGATCATTTGAGGCCAGGAGTTCAAGAGCAGCCTGGCCAACATGGTGAAACCCTGTCTGTACTAAAATACAAAAATTAGCCAGGTGTGTTGGTGGGCACCTGTCATCTCAGCTACTCGGGAGGCTGAGGCAGGAGAGTCACTTGAACCTGAGAGGCGGAGTTTGCAGTGAGCCAAGATCGCGCCACTGCACCCCAGCCTGGGTGACAGAGTGAGACTCTGTTTCAAAAAATAAAATATAAATAAAAAATCTGAAAGCTACAGGAATAGACACAGTTAAACAAAAATGGGCTGGGTGTGGTGGCTCACACCTTAATCCTAACAATTTGGGAGGCCAAGAGCTGGAGGATTGCTTGAGCCCAGGAGTTCAAGACCAGCCTGGGCAACATAGTGAGACTCTGTCACTCCGAAAACCTAAAAAAAAAAAAAAAAAGGTTGAGGGAGGGAGAATGTGTACACACACACACACACACACACACACACACACACACACACACGGATACTTTAAAAATATTTTAAAATAAACTTTAGGGTAGGAATAGTGGCTCATGTGTATAATCTCAGCACTTTGGAAGGCCAAGGTGGGAGGATCACTCCAGCTTGGGAGGTCAATGTTGTAGTGAGCTATGGTCACTCCACTGCACTCCAGCCTGGGTAACAGAGTGAGACCCTGTCTCAAAATAAGTAAATAAATAATTTTTAAAAATACTTGGCTCAGCTGGGCATGGTGGCTCACGCCTGTAATCCCAGCAGTTTGGGAGGCTGAGGCAGGCAGATCACCTGAGATCAGGAGTTTGAGACCAGCCTGGCCAACATGTTAAAACCCTTCTCTGCTAAAACTACAAAAATTACTCAGGCGTGGTGGCAGGCACATGTAATCCCAACTACTTGGGAGGCTGAGACACGAGAATTGCTTGAACCTGGGAGGTGGAGGTTGCAGTGAGCCGAGATCGTGCCAGTGCACTCCAGCCTGAGTGACAGAGTGAGACTCCGTCTCAAAAAACCATAACAACAACAAAAAACCTGGCTGGGCACAGTGGCTCAGCCTGTAATCCCTGTACTTTGGGAGGCCAAGGCAGGAGGATTGCTTGAGCTCAGGAGTTCCAGACCAGCCTGGACAACATGGCAAAACCTCATCTGAACTGAAACTAAAAATAAAAATAAAAAAATTAGCCCAGCATGGTGGTGCATGCCTGTGGTCCCAGCTGCTCGGGATGCCGAGGCAGGAGGATTGCATGAGCCCAGGAGTTTGAGGCTGCAGTGAGCTATGTTCGCACTGCAGCACTCCAGCCTGGGTGATAGATTGAGACCCCATATCCAAACAAAACAAAAAGGCTTCATTTTTTAGAGCAGTTTTAGTTTCACAGCAAAGTTGTGCAGAACATACCAAGATTTCCCCTATAGCTTCTCCCCACCACATGCACAGCCACCCCCACCATGGACATCCTGTACCAGAGTGGAACATTTTTTGCAGTTGATGAGCCTACACTGACACATCATCATCACCCAGAGTCCATAGTTCACCTTAGGGCCCACTCTTGGTGTTGTACATTCCATGGGTTTGGACAAATACATAATGATGTGTACCTGCCTTTATAGTATCATAGGGAGTAGTTTCACAAACCCAAAAATCCTCTGGGCTCTGCCTATTCATCCCTCCCTCTTTCCAACCTGTGGCCACCACTGACCTTTTAACTGACTCCGTAGTTTTGCTTTTTCTAGAGTGTTGTATAGTTGGAATCATATATCTTAAAATATTAATTGTATGTATATTTTTTATGGTGAATACACATAGGTGCACATACATATAATAATTTTATTTTCAATAATTTTGGGGTTAGAGGTAAACCTCATAGGTCATCTCTTCCAGAAGGCAGAATAGATAAGAATTCCTCTCTTCAAATGAAGAAATTAGAGGGTACATTCATTTATCAAGCACAGTTTCTCAAATCTGTAACTATACTACTGGGAAAGACTCGAGATGATTTTTAGGGATACTTGAATATGATGAAATCACAGAGAAAGTGTTTTTTGTTTGTTTGTTTTTTTGTTTTTTGTTTTTTTTTTGAGACGGAATTTTGCTCTGTTGCCCAAGCTAGAGTACAGTGGTGTGATCTCGGCTCACTGCAATCTCTGCCGCCTGGGTTCAAGTGATTCACCTGCCTTAGCCTCTGGAGTAGCTGGGATTATAGGAGCCTGCCATCATGCCAGGCTATTTTTTTTTTTAAATTTTGTATTTTTTGTAGAGATGGGGTTTTACCATGTTGGCCAGGCTGGTCTTGAACTTCTGATCTCAAGTTATCCACCCACCTTGGCTTCCCAAAGTGCTGGGATTACAGGCATGAGCCACCATGGCTGGCTGAAAGTTGTTCTTTTTAAAATTATCTTTCTAGTCTTCTATTAGAGAGGGAGTCTCAGTTCAGTACTGGTTTGTGTTAACTAGTTCTCTAAAAGTGTCTAATTTCCACTTGCAACAAAGAGAAGGCAAGCTTTGGATATGAGTAAAGACAATTACATATATTTATTTTCTTCTTATTGAGTAGCAAGTGATTCTAGTTTGTCATACAAAGAAGTGATATCATATTTGTGTGAAATAAGTGCAAATTAAAAGTGGTTTGATTTAAATAAAAATATTAAGCCAGTGTACAGGTGCTGTATAGATATGGCAATAATAGTGAAAGAAAACCTTGAATGACTGAAGTTTGAGTCATGCTGCTCTCATGTCTATAACATGATTCTCTATGTTCTCTATGAAAATTCAGTTCACACGCAATTTTTAGGAAATACTTCTGGCAAACTCCGTATGGTTGCCTTCTGTCACCTGGGTCTGCTACTGTACATTCACACTAATATAATGCGTTGATGGATTAAATTAAAGTTCTGGGCCTGGAACCAAAACGTGCAAAAAGACCCTGTTCTGTAACTATGCCTTGTATGTTGCAACACAGATTTCCAAGAGAGAAACCTCTCTTCTTTGCTTAGGACATTAAAGAGGTTTGGTGCTGTTCAATAGCTATTATATAAGTTATCATTATGTATATTGGCGTTTATTTCATTAGGCACCATTTTCCACCAGAACTAGGAAACGCTATCTGCAAAACTATGAAATGAACATGAAATGAGGCATAATAGAATTTTTGAATGCAATAATCAAGACATGTTTTCTGCAGAAACACACGATGGGGTCAACCCTTCCAATGGAGATGACTACGCTGCCTGATGTGCAACGATCATGTCAACATGCACAGCTTTCCAAAGGGGAGGGAGTACTGAGTATTGAGGCCTAGATGGTGTTTAAAACACAAAATGCAAGATTGGAAAAAAAAAAAAAAGAACCCAGCTGGAATGATGCAGAGTATGACTCCAATTAATGGGCAAACCAAACCCAGGTGTTTTTCCCCTTTTAAAAGCAGTCCAATGGAGGACATTTTTCAAAGCCTCCACTTGAATGAAGTGGTGGGTCCCGTTGACGTGACTGGCTTAATTTGCTTCTTTTGGTTGCCAGAGGCTGCATTTCCATGATATTTATTATTAGCTCATGTCCTGAGGTGGTCTTGCAGCAATCAAGTGAAAACCAGCTTGTTCTCTCTTCCTCTTTCCTTCAGATCACGCAATTAAAGATTGAGAATAATCCCTTTGCCAAAGGATTTCGGGGCAGTGATGACATGGAGCTGCACAGAATGTCAAGAATGCAAAGGTAGGAAAGTGGATTCCTCAACTTTCTCCTCCCCACATACCCCTCAAATTACCCAGGTAAGCCAGCAGCAACCCAGCACCTCCCTCCACCAGCCTTCCTGCCCGTAGAATGCCAGGCACATGGAAATGGGGAGAATGAGCCCCCTCTGTCCCATTTTCTGATAACCTTCACATGTGGTTGGCGCCATTGGGCAACCTGGAGAATACATTTTCTAGTGGAGAGAAGGTACGAAGAGTTCGGCATTCTCCATTCTCCCAGGGAACAAAAGGCACAGCTTTCTCTTCTTTCTCTGCTGTCTCTCTCCCTGTAGGGAAACCCTTTCTCTTTTTCTTCCCATAAGTCACAGCCGATGAATGCTTTTTTTTTTTTTTGGCAACAGCTCTTGGTAAATGAAAGAGAAGTTAATGACTTGATTTCCTGAGGGTGAAATACAGACAAACTTGACACCATGTGGTGTCCAGGGCACTGGAGGATTGGAAGCTGGTGCTAAAAATTGCTCGGTATTTTTACATATCCTGTGGTCATAGTTGCTGATATGATGAATAGAACGGGCTGTAGCAAATGTACATAGTGGGAATTTGGTCTGATTTGAAAGGATTGTACAAGCATTGCCAATTTTGTGGAACATTCTCTCTACCTCTTGATGTGCTTCCAAAATAACTTACCATATGGCAAGCGAATTAGAAATACATCTTGATCCCTCTGACCAAGAAGGTTTGTGTGTGTGTGTTGTGTGTGTGTGTGTGTGTGTGTGTGTGTGTTTTCTTTTTTTCTGTTTGGTGGGTTTAGTGTTTCAAAATAAAATGAGATCCTTTTGGATGTTTTCCTTATCCTTTCTGGAAGATGTGAAAAGGGAGAGTCAGGCAGATAGACAGATATATTCATTCAAAGAAAGATAAGAGACCTAAGAACATAAAGGGAGAAAGACCTTAAATCTGTGGTTTTAATATTAGGTTTAGAAATACATGCAATGGAAAAATTGTTTTTAGATAGCGGGCTTATCAGGTCAAATTTTGCAAGCTTTTTAAAAAATAATGCTAGCCCAGGTGGCATGTTCCTGCAGCCCCAGCTACTCAGAAGGCCGAGGCAGGAGGATTTCTTGAACCCAGGAATTTGAGGCTGCAGTGAGCTATGATCACACTACTGCACTGCAGTTGGGACAACATAGCAAGACCCTGTCTCCAAATATTAAAAAAAAAAAACAAGAGAATGACCCTGTTTCCAAACATTAAAAAAACAAGGAGTGTGGTACATCTGTGCACACATTCCTGTTTTCATAAATTGGTTTCCTTCAAGATTGTGGACTCACAAGGTACTTTTTGTGGCTAAAATAGGCAAGTTCTGAGTTTGTTATTTAAAATTTATTTTTGGTTTTAAGCATCTACATTTTGAAATTGATTGGGCCATAGGGTCAGTGGAAAAGATGACAACAAATATCATGTTTTAGCTGAAAGAGGTTCAATAATTCACGGCCCTGGGCTCAGAGTGCCAACTTTCTGTTCCTATCCCATTCTGATGGTGATTTGCCGTTAAGGTGGCTTAGTCATTGCCACACAAAGTCACCTCTCAGTCCTACAGGCAAAGTTCCTGCTGTGCAGGTGGGAGCTGAAGGGAGATCACCCATTCCCACCTGCAATCAAAGGGTTTCATCATCTCTTACTTCTTCCCTCCTTTTTACAAGGTCAAGGGCAGGGGGTGAATAATAGATTTAAGGTGTGTTGAATCATCCCTTCAAACTTTACCAGTTACCACCTCCTACTGATTATACCTTCCAGCATAACTCGGAATTCAGCCCCCTTCTGCCAGGGTGCTAATTCTAGCCACCACCAGCCTCCTAACTAATGGAGACCCAAATTCAGTTCTGGTCTCCTCCAGGGACTTTCTTTAGGCAGCCACCAAAGAGATCTTTGTAAAACACAAATCAGGCAAGTTCTCTTTGCAGTGGAGAACATGTCCAAGTCTCCTGTTGCCATCACTATAAGGTTTGGACTCTTTTGCCTGGTTAGCCATGACCTTCCCATCTGGCCTGGCCACCCCCCTAGGTTTGTCCTTCACCAGTGTCCCCCTAATATGTGTCAATCATGCTAAAGGAAAGGCTTCAAACCTGTGTTCTTTCCTTTATTTTTGGCCCTTCGAACACACATTTCGTCTGTGTCAAACTCTTTTCCCTCCTTCTCACCAGGCCATCTCCCAACCATCACTGAGTCTCCTTGTAGCTTTTCCTTCCTTCAAGAAGCTTTCCCTGGCCATAGACTGTGTGGTCAGCCCATGTCTCCCCCAGGACCCCTCCTGGGAATCAGCCCCTCAAACTTTACCAGTTGCCCTCCAGGCTTTTCTGTGTCCGACCCAGGCCTGGAACTTTGGAAGATGATTGGACAGATGACAGCCAGCTATGAAAGTAGAGACAGGTGGGCATGTGCAGGTGTGTGAGAGCTCAGATGTCAGATGTCAGTCATCAAGGGAGTCTTTTCTAAAAGCTCTTTTTTTTTTTTTTTTTTGGAGACAGGGTCTCACTCTGTCGCTCAGGCTGGAGTGCAGTGGCACGATCTCAGGTCTCTGCAGCCCTGACATCCACAGGCTCAGATGATCCTCCCACCTCCCAAGTACCTGGGACTGCAGGCATGCACTGCCATACCCAACTAAATTTGTATGTTTTTATTTTATTATTATTACTTTTTTGAGGCGGAATCTCCCTCTGTCATCCAGGCTGGAGTGCAGTGGCACGATCTCCGCTCACTGCAACCTTGGCCTCCCGGGTTCAAGAGAGTCTCCTCCCTCAGCCTCCTGAGTAGCTGGAATTACAGGCGTTCACCACCACGCCTGGCTAATTTTCGTGTTTTAGTAGAGACGGAGTTCACCATGTTGGCCAGGCTGGTCTCAAACTCCTGACCTCAGGCAATCCACCCGCCTCGGCCTCCCAAAGTGCTGGGATTACAGGCGTGAGCCACCACGCCTAGCCTAAATTTGTATTTTTTGTAGAGACAGGGTTTCACCATGCTGCCTAGGCTGGCCTAGAACCCCTGGACTCAAGTGATCTACCTGCCTCAGGCTCCCAAAGTGCTGGGATTACAGACATTACCCACAGCCCCTGGCCAACTCTCCTAAAGTTCTAAACACATGTTCATTTGTTTGTGTACTTACTTATTGATTGATTGATTGATTGAGACAGGGCCTCGCTCTGTTGCCCAGGCTGGAGGGCAGTGGTGCGATCATGACTCACTGCAGCCTCAACCTTCCAGGCTCAGGTGGTCTTCTGGCTTCAGCCTCCCAAGGAGCTGGGTGTCCAGGCACACAGCACCGCATCCAGCTAATTTTTGTATTTTTGTAGAGGCAGGATCTCCCCAGGTTGCCCAGGCTGGTCACACAACTGTTTATATATTTAGGCAGATGACTCTTCTTTGGCCTGAATTGGCTGTCCTAACCATCTGTCAAGGTATTGCAGATTGCTTGAGGCCTGGACTAGGTGTCCTTGATGGGTAGGAACTTTGCAGATGGAATGGAGGAAAAGTGTGGCTAGTCATTGGTAGAAAGTCAGTAATTGACATGTTGAGTCAAACCTCTCAGCCTAAGAGCCATGTGTGTCTTTGTGGCCATGTTAGCAGTTGCCCTGGAAACCAGAGGGCTGAACTAACCACTGATGAAGTTGGGGGAGTAGATGAGGTCATTGGCCAAGGTCTCTGGACATGTCCTTGGGGAAGGAGAAAGAGTGAAGAAGAGTGGTTCCCACAGAAGGCTTTGGAGTCAGACAAACCTGGGGTCAATTCTTGTTCTACATTTATCAGTATGAGCCCTGGGGTAAGTGATTTAACCTCATGGAACCTCAGTATTCTCATCTGCAGGAGGGGCATAGATAAGTATAGCCTCTACTTTCTAGGGTTCCTGTAAAAATTATATGAGCAAATGCCTATAGAGTGCTTGATTCCTAGTCTATATGTTCAGTAAAATTTAACTAATTTGGAGGAAAGCTCCCCAGTACTCCCAATTTTGCCCTTGTTCAGAATTTATTTTGGGTCATTCTCCCAACCCCCAGGTTGCAGTCAGTAGTGACAAGTGGGGAATATGGCTCTCCAGAGTCAGCCTTGATAACAGCCAGGCAGGAACGGCAGGCTCACTGCTAATCTTGTAATTCTGTTTCCTGTCCCCTACACACCCGGTGACAGCTGGCTATGGGAGAAAAGCAGGAGGGATGAAATATCCTCTAATTCCAACAATTGGTAGAAGGGAGTGAGGTGGGATTACAGAGAGTTAAGCATTACCTTGCACTTATTCCACAGAAATAACTTTTGGATTTGCTTGGCAAATGTCTGGCTGTTCCCCCATCTACCTCTTGGCCCAACTCCCTGTGTTTGGAAAACGCAGATGATGTCTTCTTTATTTTCCAACATTTTTTAATGGTTTCTAGTTACAGGAGCAATCACTGCTTATTATAAAAATTTGGGAGCTATGGGAAAGCACAAAGCATAAAGTCATTTAAACATCCTGTCTCAAGCAGACCAATTAAAGGGTGTGCCAAGTTTATTTAGAAAGGTTAATCAATCTGTGTCTTAAAAAAAATCTAATCCTAAAAACTAATATTTCCCCAAATTGAAGAACCCTTAGATTGGTGACAAAGGAGTTTTTTTTTTAATAAAAACTATTTATTTATTTAGGACAGGGTCTTTCCCTGCCATCCAGGCTGGCATGAAGTGGCACAATCATAGCTCACTGCAGCCTCGAACTCCTGAGCTCCAGCAATCCTCCTGCCTTAGCGTCTGAAGTAGCTGGACTACAGGTGCATACCACCATGCCCAGCTAATTTTTTGTAGCGACGGAATCTCACTATGTTGCCCAGGTTGGTTTCAAACTCCTGGTCTCAAGCAATCCTCATGTCCTGGCCTTCTAAATCATGGGAATTACAGGTTTTAGATGGTGCACAGACCCATGGACACATCAGTCCTGTGATTTCATAGATGTTATTGCTCAGAATGAGACTGAGTTCTAAGAAAGGAAGAAAAGAAGGAAGCAAGGAAGGGAGGGGAGTTAAGGCTGATTAAAGAGGAAATATTAACTGAATAGCAGAACGGCTCGTATCAAGGTTTGGGGAACATTGTCAAGATAATATGCAAAGCACAGAAATTTGAGAAACACACATAAAAGCTCAACCACCTACAAAGAAAGGCTTGAGAGTGCCATTGCTGTTTGAAACCATCTAGGCCCTGGTTTTTTATAGAACAACTCTTTCTTTGGACTTTGCTTCAGTCTTCAAGATGTATTCAAACAAGTTCTGAACTTCCTAGGAGCCAAAGGGGCTGGAGCTGGGACTGGGGCAGAGTAGGCTTTATGGAGAGGGTAAAAGTAGACCTCGTAGAGAGAATGGGACCTGAATCTGTTGGGAAGAAGGGTTTTCTGGGCTGAAGCAAGGAAGAAGTGGGCAAGGGTCTAAAAGTCTAGGGGGCTGGAGTAGGGGTCAGATTCTGAAGATCTCTGAAAGCCAGCTGGAGTGACTCTATGACAGGTATGAGGAGAGCTGCTCCTAGAAGTGTGGAATTGTAGAGATAGAAGGGATTCCAGGAGACAGCATCTGATCCACCTGCTCTCTTTTGCAGAATGGGAAACTGAGGCCCAGAGACTCATTTACTTATTCAGCTTTTGATCTGTTGATTTGTTTATGCAACTAAAACATTTGTTAAGTGTTTGCTGTATGCCAAGCACTAGGCATACAAGGATGAATCAACACACAGGGGACCAGGGTCCATGGATGGAAACAGGCCCAGGAGCTGGGGTCCAGGCTGCCGCGCTGAGCAGCTCCAGGGCTTTTCTACTCGACCGAGGAGTGTCTGTTTCCTCATCTGTAAAAAGGAAGTCATTACAGAGCCTACCTCCAGGCCTGTTGCAAGGATGAAATGAGGTAACGTGTGTGTACTGATTATTATTGCTGCATAACAAATGACTCCCAAGCTTAAGCTGGGCTGGCTGGGACAACCTGGCTTCCAAACTATCCCATCTGTTCTCTGTGTGTGATGTTAAATCCAGGCCAGCCAAAGTGGCTCACCTGCGACAACTTTCCCCAACAACACATTGGGAGTCTTCTAGCAGAGGAAGGAAGTATACACTTCCACAAAGAGCTCCCAGACCATCAAAGTCCCCAAGTTCCCTACAGTTGCAATCTGCTAGCCCCCAGTAATGTCCCATAAATGCTGCTTGTGGTGAAAAGACCAGGCCTTTGCTGGTCGCCGTTGTGTGCAAGGGGAAGCAGGAAGCACCAGGGAGGCACTTTTATTTTGTCTGTGATTGGTGGGTCATGCTATTTGGAAGGACTCAGCTGTGCAGTTCTTGCTGACCATCAGATGGTGGCTGGGCTACCGGTAACGGAAGGCAGGTCAGGCAGGATGTCCAGCTTGGCACACTCCTGTGACCCACAGTTGATGCTGCTTTTGGATGGGACCTCAGCTGTTGTCCACTGAAAAATCAGAATGTGGCCTCTCTAGCTTGGCAGACTCAGGGTGTTCAGACTTTCTCACGGAAGTGGAAGCCACCTGGTCCTTGCTGACTGCACCTTGGATGTCAGGTAGTGTCACTTCTGCTGCATTCTTTTGGTTGAATGTGACTCACTCAGGTGGGTTCAGATTCAGGGAGTTTGAGACCAGCCTGGACAACATGGTGAAACCCCGTCTCTACTAAAAATACAAAAAATTAGCTGGGTGTGGTGGTGCTCACCTGTAATCCCAGCTACTTGGGAGTCTGAGGTGGGAGCATTGCTTGAACCCCAGAGGTAGAGGTTGCAGTGAGCCCAGATCGTGCCACTGCACTCCAGCCTGGGCAACAAGAGTGAAACTCCGTCTCGAAAAAAACAAAACAAAACAAACAAAACAAAACAGAAAACAGGTTCAAGAAGGGAGGACAAGTTCTCTCTTCTACCTAGAAGGAGTGTCAAGGAATTCGTCGACGCATTTTAAAACTGCCTCAGCAGGCATGGAAGCACACAGCACAGTGTCTGGCCCAGAGGGACGCTCGATCGCTGGTAGGTGTTAAGACACGGTCCATGTTCTGTTGAAGCCAGATGCCAGGTTGACTTGCCCAAGGTCACACAGTTTGGATGAAGGGGCCTGCCTGGCTGCAAGCTTGCTTTCTTCAGGATGGAGAGAACCCCCTTTCCACTAAACTGGGCTTCTGCTCATCTTCTTGTAACCATAAACCCCAGAATATGAACAAGCAATAGCAAAGTCCTTCATCTCGGTATTTCTTAGCTCACCTCACACAGAATGACCATGAGCAATGACTGGTCTTTTCACCATAAGAAGTATTTATGGAGCATTATCAGGGGCTAAGTAGATGATGGATTGGGGGACTTGGTTGGCCTCAGAGTTCTTCATGGAAGAAATGAAGCTCCCTTTACTTCCTTGCTCTCTTAGTGTGCTGCAGACGGCATCAGGGGCGTGGTCCCTGAACCTAAGGGGTAACTTGAGGCTCTACTTTTGGTGACTGGGATCTGAGCCACCCAACCAGAGAGTGGATGGGAAAGTTTGGAGTCCAGGATGTCTCAGCCAGACTGAAGCCCACCCATGACTCAGCTCCAGTTTGATTATTGAAAGGACTCTACACAGCCACATTGGGAACTGACCAACCTCACCCGCCTCTGTGGGTGCTTATTTTTACCCTCTCTACCTTGTTCCTGTAGGGTAGGGCTTCTGAAAATGGGTGCAAGACTCCTTTTGAAAATCTAGTTAAAGCAAGAGACCCTCTGAAAGACTCACAATATATGAATAGAGAAAAAAAGTCGCTAGGTGTGGTGGCTCATGTGTGTAATCTCAGCACTTTGGGAGGCTGAGACAGGAGGAGAATTGCTTGAGATCAGGAGTTTGAGACCAGCCAGAGCAACGTAGGAAGATCCTGTCTCTAAAAAAAAAGAAAAAGAAAAAGATAAAAAAAAAAAAAAAGATTAACTGGACATGATAGCCTGTGTCTATAGTTGCAGTTACTCTTTTGGCTGAGACAGGAGGATTGCTTGAGCCCAGGAGTTTGAGGCAGCAGTGAGCTGTGATTATGCCACTGCATTCCAGCCTGAGCAACAGAGCAAAATGCTGTCTCAATTAAAAAAATTCAATTTCAAGGGATGTATAAGGCCTAGGTCTCCTAAAAGGTTAAAATTCTTCTATTTGAACCTTCCCTCTTCTATTACTTCCTTCCTGATTTTAAATTAATTTTCAGCTCTTAACCTCAAATGATCATTTTTCAAACTGAAGGCTTAGCACTCTTGTGTTCTCATGCTTGTGGTTAAAGGTAATCTGAATGCCCAATTAATGAGAAGTGGTTTTCGAGACAACATTAGACAACCTTCTGGAGATGGCATTAACTCCCCTCTTAGGGTTGTAATTTACCTAGCCACATGGCTTCCTCCAGGGAAGCAGTGCATTTATGTAAAACAAGAGCGGGGTTGTGTCTGGGGAGCTGAGCCAGCCTAAGTGAAGCTGTAAAATTGAGATGTTTTTCTGAAAGGATCTCATCTTGGGTCATGGTTATTTGTCAAGGCATGGATGCTCAGAACCCAACCCCGCCACATTCCCACTTTCCCACTCAGGTACCCCCACCCCCACCTAACCCATCCCCAGCATATCTGCTATTCAGGAACAGGGTTGGGAGAAACTCACTCACCCATCTGTGTTTTTCCTCATCTTTAATGAGGTATAATTGACAAAAAGTGTATATACTTAGGTTATACAACTTAATAGTTTAATATACGTAAATGTGAGATAATTACCATAATCAAGCTAATTAACATATTCAGCACCTCATATAGTTACCATTTTATTTTCTTGTGTATATATATATTTTAATATATATATATAAATATTTAAGATGTACCCTCTTAGTTAATTTTAAGTACACAATACTGTGCTCTTAACTGTATTCACATTGCTGTACGTTAGCTCTCCAGGAATTATGCCTCTTGAATAACTGCCTCTTGAATAACAAATGCCTTTGACCTATATCTCCCCATTGCCCTTCTCCCCAGCTACTGGCAACCACCATTCTCCTCTCCACTGCTACAGGTTTGACTATTTTAGATTACACCTATAAGTGAGTCATGTCATGTTGATCTTTCTGTGTCCGGCTTGTTTCACTTAACAATGTCCTCCAGGTTCATTCATGTTGTCTCAAACGAGAGGATTTCCTTCTTTATTTTTAAGGCTGAATAGTATTCTAGTGTGTGTGTGTGTGTGTATATATATACACACCACATTTTCTTTATCCATTCATCCACTCATGGATACTCAGGCTGATTCCATATGTTGGCTCTTTTGAATCGTGCTGCAATGATCATGGGAGTGTAGATATCTCTTTAAGATACTGATTTCATTTCCTTTGGGTGTATATCTAGAAGAGGGATATACATATATCCCTGGGTCATATGAGAGTTCTATTTTTCTGTTATTTATATATTGTTTTGTTTTGAGATAAGGTCTTACTCTGTTGCCCAGGCTGGAGTGCAGTGTCATGATCAGGGCTCATTACAGCTTCCACTTCCTGGGTTCAAGCAATCCTCCCACCTCAGCCATCCAAGTAGCTGGGACTACAGGCACGTGCCACCATGCCTTGTTAATGTTTTTCAATTTCAGTAGAGACAAGACCTTGCTATGTTGCTCAGGCTAGTCTTGAACTCCTGAGCTCAAGTGATCCTCCTGCCTTGGCCTCCCAAAGTGCTGGGATGACAGAACGTGGGCCACTGCACCTGGCTGATAGTTCTATTTTTAATTTTTTTGGGAACCTCCATACTGTGTTCCATGGTGGCCGCACCAACTTGCATTCCCACCAGCAGTGTGCAAGGATTCCTTTTTCTCCACATCCTTGCCAACATTTGTTATCTTTTGTCTTTTTGAGAATAGCCATCCTAACAGGTGTAAGGTGATATATCTCATGTGGCTTTGATTTGTATTTCCTCAATGAGTAATGAAGTTGTACATTTTTATTATACCTCTTATCTATTTGTATGTCTTCTTTTGAGAAATGTCTATTCAGGTCTTTTGCCCATTTTTTAATGGGATTTTTTTCACCACTATTGAGTTGAGTTCATCCACAATTGAGCAGTGTTTCTCAAACTTTTGGTAGACATCACAATTACCTGGGGGGCTTGTTAAAAAAGATTTCTAGGTCTCACTCTCAGAGGTTTGAGTCAGTGGCTTCAGGGATGGGTCAGAAACTGCCCTTCAACAGTTTTCTCCAGTGGCTCTGATGGAGGTGTCCCCTGGTCACACTTGGGTAATCCCTTGGTTCTAGAGAATGAGTGAGCACTAGAGAATGCAGATGAACACGTGATTGTATTTCTGCAAACAAAGCCCATGTATGGGCCATTTTACACAAAAGGCAACCCTTTTCTCTACTTAGTACTCAACTCACACTGAACATTAGAATTACCTGTAGTCCTCCCCTCAGTGTTCTATTATGAAAAATCGAAGGCGTGTGAGAAACATGGAAGAATTGTACGATGAGTGCCCATGTACTCACTGCTTAGAGTCTACAATTAAAATTTTGCTATATATTTGCTCTACCACATATCCCTCCATCCACTCACCTATCCATCCATTCATCTAGCCATCCTTCCGTCCCTCTCTCCCTCCCTCCTTCTTTTTATTGATGCATTTCAAATTAAATTGCAGACATGAGTACATTTTACCCCAAACACTACAGTGTGCACATCATTAACTAGGACTCAATTTTTGTTCACACTCCTGTATTTTAGGTTGAATTTATATAGGGTGAAATGTACAAATGTTAAGTACACCTCTCACTGTTTGGCACATGCACATACCTGTGAAACCCAAGCCCCTATCCAAATATAGAACATTCCCATCACCCCAGAAAATTCTCTCATTTCCTGCCCCCTTGTCACTCCCTGCCTCCTTCTCTTCACCAGAGGCAATCAATGTCCTGACTTTTTTCACTATAGGTTAGTTTTGTCTGTTATAGAATTTCATATAAATAGGATCATCCAGTGTATACTCTTTGTGGAAGACTTCTTTCTCCTGGGAAGCTTTTAAAAACTCCCAGTGTCCATGCTGTTCCCCAGAACTATAACATCAAATTCCCTGGGGGTGAGTTTGGGTGTCAACATATCTATTTTTAATTTCCCAGGTGATTATGGTATGCAGCCAAGCTTGAAACCAACTCCCCTAGAGGAAGTTCCTCGTCTTTGTCCATCCCCACCCTAAGCCGTGTCCCCCAATCACCCAACTCCACTAATTAACATCCTCACATTAAAATTTTATTTTCCAAGAGACCTGCTACCTTGTAGTTGTTCTGAACAGGGAAGGAGGCAGACTTTTATATTAGCACAGAAAACATTTATCATTCCTTCAGAAATAGTTGCTTTGGGTGACTTTGCCAAGGTCATCCTCAGAAGCGAAGGTCACCAGGAAGTCCTTGGCTTACTTCTGGATCATCAGTGGCCTCCACATGATTTTCCCCAGAACAAAGGATGCCCCAAGGCAATCCCTTTGGTACAGAAAGCAGTTTGAGAAAGCTGTAGCATTCCAGCTTCCAGAAGGATTGAGGCCTTGGAGGACTCCTTCTCACCACCCTACCCCTGTTCCAAAATCATGTAAAAGAAAAGACTAAACCTAAGTCATAGTTAAGCTGGTTTAAATGGTTAATTTACAAGACTGGACTAAAATATTGGCTGTTCAGTTCAGTACTAGACTATTTGATGAATTATTACCATAAATTCATTAAAAGTTTAGCTTGAGGCTGGGTGCGGTGGCTCATGCCTATAATCCTAGCACTTTGGGAGGCCGAGGTGGGCGGATCACAAGGTCAGGAGTTTGAGACCAGCCTGGCCAACATGGTGAAACCCCGCCTCTTCTAAAAATACAAAAATTAGCTGGGCATGATGGTGGGTGCTTGCAGTCCCAGCTACTTGGGAGGCTGAGGCAGGAGAATCGCTTGAACCTGAGAGGCAGAGGTTGCAGTGAGCTGAGATTGCACCATTGCACTCCAGCCTGGGCGACAGAGCGAGACTGTCTCAAAAACAAACACAAACAAACAAACTTTAGCTTGAATTGTCCTTTTATGTCTGTAGTTTTACAAAGTTTAGCTTGAATTGTCCTTTGTTGTCTGTAGTTTTACATCTAGCTTTTACCCGCAGAATCCACACCTGCCCTGTGAGATAGGCCTCTTGTTCTCCGTTATGCAAACAGGGAAACTGAGACAAAGGGTAATGTCATGAATTGCCCAGGACTTTTCTCCATGATTTCCGAACCATCTCTATAGTTTGAGTCAAAACCGTTTTTTGAATCACAGACCCTTTTTGAGTAGCCAATGCAAATGTGAACCTCTTCCTAGAAAAAGTGATCAGCTCTAAATATTTGACATTTTTGGGTATTCATACCCATTTGAAGCCCTTGCTGGGTAAGAACCTCTGCTCCAAAATATAATAATGTATATTTACAAAATAGTGTTTATTGAGCAATGTGTCCCCAGTGTGTGTGTGTGTGTGTGTGTGTGTGTGTGTGTGTGTGTGTATGTATATATATTCGCTAAGCCTTTCCATGCATCATTTCATTTTATAACCCCAAAGAGGTGGCTATTTTATTATCCCCATTTTATAGACAGAAGACTGAGGCTTGGGTAAAGGAAGAAACTAGCCAGCAATGGAGTGGTCTAGTTCGTGCCTGGATACTGAAGGAAGGCACATTCACCTGGCCTGACATCGGAGCCTGAGCTTGATGCTACCACTCTGATACTATATTATCTACAGATTTAACAAGTGGGACCCAAGGCCCCAAACCAAAATTTTTACAAGTGGTGGGTACTTAAGGCCAGGGAGAGAAGTGCCTTTGAGTTTCTTGGCACCCCTCAAATCATATAGCCCTGGTTGAGTCAACAATGGGAAATTTAGGCCTTATAAGGTGGCTCATGTCTATTATCCCAGTGCTTTGGGAGGCAGAGGGGAGGATCACTTGAGGCCAGATCAAAACCAACCTGGGCAATATAGCAAGACCCCATCTCTAAAAAAAAAAAAAATACAACTATTGGCTGGGTGTGGTGGCACATGCCTACAGTTCCAGCTACCTGGGAGGCTGAAGCAGGAGGACCCCTTGAGCCCAGGAGCCTGAAGTCACCGTGAGCTATGTTCATGCCACCTCACTCCAGCCTGGACAACAGAGTGAGAGTTTGTCTTAAAAACAAAAGAAAAAAACCGACAATGGGAAAGTTTTATAACCTCTTTGTGCCCTCACCCCCATTCTTTTTTGAAATTTGTATAAATTTAGAGAGTACAAGGGTAGCTTTTATACCTGGATCTATTGCATAGTGGTGAAGTCGGGCTTTTAGTGTAAGTATCACTTTAATAGTGTACATTGTATCCATTAAGTAATTTCTCATCCCTCACCCACCTCCCACCCGTCGGAGCCTCCAATGTCTGTTATTCCATGCTCTATGTCCACGCCCAGGTTGTACACATTCTTTAGCTCCACTTATAAGTGAGAACATTGTGTCCCCTTATTCTCATCAGCAACATGGTACCCAGCGCCCTTCTCCTGCTGGTGTAGTGTAAACTGAGTAAGCACTTTGCAGACTTGAAGAAGCCAGTGATTATTTACTATTTGCACTAGGCGAAATCCAGCCTTGGGTGTGCCCTCTGCAGTCCCTGCCGTGTCCGTGCATGTTAGATCAGAACAACTTCCTCAAGTGTATTAGAATTAGAATGTTAAGAAATCAAGAAAGCTCTCAAGGGGTGATGTGGCCCCCTTTTTAATTTTAATCACAGATTAAAATGCTATCGAGAAGAGGAATTTGCTCCAAGAGAAGAGGGATTTCACAGTCCCTCGCCTTGCCCCAGTGCACTGCTTTAGTTGTTTGAAAAAGGCTGCCAGAAATTGGGTAAGGATCACCAGGAAAAAAAAAAAAAAAAAAACACAAAAATCTGAACATGCCAGCGCCCCCTGCCACCTGCTCCCATGAAAAGGCCAATTCAGTCGGCTGTAGTGGAAAACGTTCTCCCGGGTGTTCATTAGCTGGAGGGAGGCTGAGGATGCAGTTTGGCCGTGGATTTCAATATTCCCTTGTAACGTTTTACAACCCAGACCCAGCGACAATGGCGTCATTCATTGCACTCGCTCACGTGGAACAGAACATGAGAGAAGGGCAGAGCTGGGGAGAAGCTGGTCTGTGGGCGCTGATACCCAAGGCCAGCTGAGGTACTCAGGACCCCCAGCTCGTGTTGGGGTCGGGGGTCCCAGACTCTTGTCAGAGCTTGTCCATGGGATGCAGGTGTAGCTGCTTGATACAGCAGAGAGCAGTGAGATTTGACTGTTGCAAACTAAAGTTTCTGCAAAGAGTAGGATAGATCAGTAGATCTTGATATTGCCCGGGTGGAGCCAATATCCAATTCTCTCATTACCAGCATGCTTTATAAAGTGGGATTTGCCAAGTAGTTGGTATGGAGGTAACAATTGCTTATTATTAAGCATTAGTTAGGTGGCTGATATAATGGGCTTATGGGGACTTTTATCACTCATCCCCGTTCCACCATTCCCCTTGATATAGGGACTTGGAAGGAAGGGCGGGAGGGGTATGAGGGATAGAAGGCTATATATTGGGTACAGTGTACACTGCTCGGGTGATGGGTTCATGAAAATCTCAGAAGTCACCACTAAAGAACTAATCCACGTAACCAAACACTACCTATTCCCCCAAAACAAAAAAATTTTTAAAATGTCATGTGAAAAAAATAAACATGATAACTGATAGGAAAAAAAAAGGTTAAATGAGGTCATAAGTGTGGGGCTTTAATCTCACAGGATGGTGGCCATATAAAAAAGAGGAAGATAGATAGATAGAGAGAGAGAGAGAGAGAGAGAGAGGGAGAGATCATCCCCCACTCTAACCCTCCCTGCCTGGCATGTGAGGACACTGAGGGAAGGCGGCCATCAGAAGCGAGGAAGACAGGCATCACCCGAAACTGACCATGCTAGCACCCACATCTCCAGAACTATGAGAAAATACATTTCTGTGTGTGTGCTTTTTTTAAAGTATTAGGTGGCGTGAGTTTTGGAATAGGATTGACCCTGGGTGAGACTCAGCTTTGCCTCTTAGCTGTGTGGTCTGGGACAAGTCACTTGACCTCTCTGTACCTGCCTTTTCTTTTCTTTCTTTTCTTTTTTCTTTTCTCTTTTCTTTTCTTTTCTTTCTTTTCTTTTCTTTTCTTTTCTTTCTTTTCTTTTCTTTTCTTTTCTTTTCTTTTCTTTTCTTTTCTTTTCTTTTCTTTTCTGAGACAGAGTTTCACTCTTGTCATCCAGGCTGGAGTGCAATGGTGCTATCTTGGCTCATTGCAACCTCCACCTCCCAGGTTCAAGTGATTGTCCTACCTCAGCCTCCCAAGTACATGCCCAGCTAATTTTTGTATTTTTAGTAGAGACAAGGTTTCGTCATGTTGACCAGACTGGTCTTGAACTCCTGATCTCAAGTGATCTGCCTGCCTCAGCCTCCCAAAGTGCTGGAATTACAGGTGTGAGCCACCGTGCCTGGCCCATCTGCATTTTCTTATCTCTAATGTAAATGTAACTGTACCTGTGAAATGAGGTTCTTGCCAGGATCAAATCAGGATAAGCATATAAGTCAAGCAGTACGGTGGCTGGAACATTAGGAGGCATTGAAGAACAATGTAGATGAGAATGATGATGATGATGATTAAAAAAAGAGCAGGCTCCTTTTGCTGCCTGTATTTCTAGAGACAGAAGGGCTTTTCAACTTTCACTTTAATTCTCTTGTGTCCTTGCTTCTTCATGGATGTTCTTAAGCTGTAGAAGAAAATAGTTTTATCTTCTCATCTGGAGGACTTTAGAGATTTCTGTCATACTAACCACGTCTCTTTGGTTGACCGTTCCTTTGATCCATGGATGAGCTCTGTGAAAATTGCCCCGCTGTTGTTTGATTCTAACATTTTCTTTCCTTTGCATGTGTAATTCTATAATGATTGAGAAGTCACTTCCCCATTCCATGCCCATATTTTGACACTTGTCAGAGGGGTTTGGGGACATCGTATTTCAGGCATTAACAGAGATGTTCACGATCGGTGTTGGGGATGATGTTTCAGGCTCTTTAGAGGGAAACAAGCTGTGAGGGACAAGTGGTTATTGGGATGATATTGCTTTTCCCACTTCTGTGTTAGTAATCAAAAGCAGGACTTGGCCTTTCCAGAGAGCAATTTTGCAATTTGGCTGTACTGGAACGGAGAATTCCACGGAGTCCATTGATACATTCTCTTGTAAACTCTCTCAGCCAACATTTTTTGGAGGTTATTTTCTTTAATTAAAAAGAAAAACTGTTCCTATTAAAAATATAAAACCAAAAGAGATTTCCCCCTTCCTCTTGGAGCTCTGACAGCAAAATATTGGAACTAAATAGATCTAAATAGAATTGTCGGCAAGTTTTGACAACTTTTATAATGTTTTATTGTTATTATAATTTTTCTTCTTTTTCTTTTTTTCTTTTTTTTTTCCATTACGTAGCTTGAACCACAAAGCAAGAGCTGTAAAGCTAATTCCATTCCCTTCAGCCTCCTGGCCCCAGGGGGAGATTCTGACTGGTGCGGCTGCTCGGATGGCTCCAGCTTTGGTTCTGAGATGGCACAGGGAAGCTGGGCTAGGAGACCCCTGGGTGTCCTGAGGGTGTCTGTAGACTCATGGAAACTTGGCAGATGCTCTGTGTTCCTGCCTGGCCACTCTGGTGTGCTTTCACATGACAAACAAAGGCAGGGACATAGGGTGGAGATGTTCACACACTTGAGGGGGTAGAAGTAGAAAGAGTCTTGTACCCCAAAACCCTGCTCCCCTAAAAGCATATTGTGTTCTAAAAATTGAAAGACATCATTAGGATACAATGCAAAAGTTATGAGGAAATGATTGGATTAGAATTCTAGTTGTGTCTCTTTCTAACTCTGTGATCTTGAACAAGTTGCTTCATCTCCCTGGGCCTCAACTTCCTCATCTGTAAAATGGGATCAAAGATAATACCTATCACATAGAGTCATAGAAAGGATGAAATGGACGAATTCAAGATCCTTCAAAATGCGTTACGTGTAGCTCTTTGCGCATGATATTATTTCAGGTATACTCTTTAATTTTAATAGTTAAGCATTGATTGATTGATTGATTGATTGATTGATTGAGACAGGGTTTCACTCTGTCACCCAGGCTGGAGTGCAATGGTGCAGTCATAGCTCACTGCAGCCTCAAACTCCTGGGCTCAAGCAATCCTCTTGCCTCAGCCTCCTGAGTTGCTATGACCATAGGCACATAAACATTCGTCTTAATTGCATTAAAATAACTATAATTAGCACCACAAGCCTGTAATTTCACAGATATGATCACTTATAGTGAAGCTTAACTTATTTAGATAAATGATTAATTTTTAAAATGTCATAAGTTAAAGAATAGATGGCTGTATGTCATGGTGAAAATTGTGTCTGACTGAAGTTTGGGATTTACTGACACATGCTCCTTCTAGGATAGGGGTTCTTAAACTGTTTGATGCCATGGGCCTCTCTGGCAGTGTGTTGAAGCCTATGAATCATCTCTAAGAATAATATGATTAAATGCATGAAATAGAATACATAGGTTACAAGAGAAGCCAATTATATTTGAAATATAGTTACCAAAATATGTTTTAAATGGCTGTTTAGCAATATATGCAGTTTGTAAATGCCATGCCCAAGATTCCCTATCCCCATCCTAAATGCTGGATATGGGATGTTAGGGGTCAAGCTCTTCTTCTCTCACATACTTGGATATTTCTCTCTTTGTCCCTTCTATCTTGAAGCACCCCCACCCCCACCTTCTCTCTACTCCTCTGCAACCTTCCACATCCCATCCATTCCCCACCTCTCTCATTTCCTTTGAGCCTCCTGCTGCTGCACAGCACGACTTTCCTTCTTCCCAGGAGAGGTTTCTACTGAGTCCTTCTGAGGAAAAAAAATGGGAACACCTGGTATGAAATCTGAAGGTAAGGGAATGTGGAGGACCAGTCCTAAGAGTGTGAGGGGCCAGATTTTGAGCACACTGAGGGATGCTATACCTATGATGTCATGGAATTTTTATTATGCTTACTTTGCCTGTGTGAGCCCTGAAGCTCAGGGGAGGGTTGTGTGTCAGATGGACACACAGCCTGTAAGGGATAGGGATGGGGCCTGAATTGGGAGCTGCGTAATCTTAGATCCCATGCTGATTTTTTCTTTTCTTTTCTTTCTTTCCTTTTTTGTTTCTTTTTTCTTTCTTTCTTTTTAAATCTTCTATGTCCTTGTTCCTCCTTCTTTCTCATTTTCTTTCCCTCTCTTTTTTCCCTCCCTCTATTCTCTCTGCCCAAAACAATAACAGTAATGACGATGGTTGCCATTTGTTGAGCATTTACTCTGTGCCATGTACCTTTCTGAGTCTTTTCATGGTTAACTCATTAACCCGTTTCTTCTATCAACAGCCCTTTGAACTGGGGACATTCATTATCCCTACTTTACAGATGGGAAAACTAAGGTATGGAGAAGTTAAGTATATCAGTGGCCACAAGGACAGAAGCTCAGGAGGAAATTCTGACACTAGCAGCAATCTATCCAGATGAGAGTAACTTAGGATTATACCTGACCTTCCTAGGTTGTCAGCTACCAGTTTTTACTAACTTTGGGCAATGACCTGAGCCCCACCTTAAAGATGGACACCCACAGGTTAAGTCTAAATAAATACTCAGATTAACTAGCTTTCAAATTAGGGAATTTAAAGACATACATAGACTAAATTGACATATTTCAAAATACCATGTGTGTTTATTGATTGTTAAAAGGGGTTCTTAACTGGGGGTGTTTATTTACTTTTCTGCTGAGGTATAGAACTGTTGGTAAATCTACTTGCCTAATGTATAAGGCATGAAAAATTAGTACCCAAATATACATTTGTGAAATATGATGGACATGAATATAACTGGATCATTTTATTCATCAAAGACCTCTTTTTTTTCCTTATTCTGTGACTTTTCTGGTGGATTCTCTCACACCTGGTTCAGCCACTCAGGAAATCTGTATCAGGGCACTGATAGGCGTTATCTCCCATCTTTTCTCTTTCAGTAAAGAATATCCCGTGGTCCCCAGGAGCACCGTGAGGCAAAAAGTGGCCTCCAACCACAGTCCTTTCAGCAGCGAGTCTCGAGCTCTCTCCACCTCATCCAATTTGGGGTCCCAATACCAGTGTGAGAATGGTGTTTCCGGCCCCTCCCAGGACCTCCTGCCTCCACCCAACCCATACCCACTGCCCCAGGAGCATAGCCAAATTTACCATTGTACCAAGAGGAAAGGTGAGTGTGATCACCCCTGGTCAATTTGCTTTCTTTCTTACCTTTTCCTTTCCTTGGGTTGGGGGTGAGGGGGTGAGGAGTATTCATTTATTTACTTTATTTATTTAAAAATGTAAACAACACAAAAATATATGGAGATAAGAAATTTAAACCAAACAGCTAAAACAAAAAGTTCCCTTGACATGTTCCTACCCCCAGTTCCAGCCCCTCCTTTGGAGAAAGCTTATTTGAAATGTTCAGACCTATTGTATTCATTTATGCACACATACACGTGGCGAGTGCAGAGAAAGAACTAGATTTATTTTTACTTTTTTTTTTCTTTTTTTTTTTTTTTTGAGACAGGATCTTGCTCTATCACCCAGGCTGGAGTGCAGTGGTGTAGTCATGGCTCACTGCAGCCTCAACCACCTGGGCTTAAGTGATCCTTTCACATCAGCCTCCCTAGTAGCTGGGACTATAGGCATGCGTTCACACACTGTACTAAATTTTTGTTGTTGTTGTAGAGACAGGGTCTCACTGTGTTGCCCAGGCTTGTCTAAACCTCCTGGGCTCAAGTGACCCACCTGCCTTGGCTTCCCAAAGTGCTGGGATTACATGCCTGAGCCACCACACCCAAAATTTTTTTTAAAAACTTTTAATATAGATGAAATCACACTGTATGTATTTTGCAACTTGCTGTTTTTTTTCTTTTAAACTTTAGAATGTGTTTTGGGTATCTTTTTATGAACCTAGACTGCCTTATTTTATTTTTAACTGCTAAGGAGGAAGAATTGACTGGAAAGGATAAAATGGAGTTTATTTTGTCACTCCCTCTGGTAGGCAGGGAGGTTGCTTGAGTGGTCCCTGATGGTATTACAAGCCGTGATGCAGGAAAACCCCTTGTGACTATCAATGCTTCTCTGGCATATGTGTCAGTGTTTCTCCCAGGTGGATTTTGAACTCTTTTTTTTTTTTTCCTGATCAAAACCAACACACACACACACACACACACACACATCACAAATGATTTTCCCCGTCTCATCCCCCATTTAAATCTACTAAGCTGAGGCATTCCGCAGTTTTCTTTGCCACATGAGAAATAAATGGCTTTTTTTTTTTTCTAAGTCATCCAAGTCCAAAGGGGCTAAGCTAAAGAAAGAATTTTCTGGTGGCCCTTCTTGTGAGCCAGAATAGAAGTGTTTGGCACAGGTGGTGTGGTGGAGTTCAGCTCGATAGAACCATTGCTTGGTGTGAGCTGTAGATGGTATGGTGGGGAGACTGCAGCCTTTGGGGACAGAGAGATGCGGGTTTGAATCTCATCTCTGCTCCCTGCTTCTTGTGTGACCTCACTCAGGTGTTCTAGCCTCTCCTAGCCTCAGTTTCTCACTTTGTAAATGATATGTTTCCTAAAGCATCTGATAGTTAGCAAGTACGCAGTAGGTGGCAGCCATGATTGGGTATGTGGCAGATATCGCTCCAGAAGGTGATTCCCAGGAGGAATCTGCCTCTTGTCTTTGGACTGGCATTAATTTAATCAGTCTTCCCAGAGAAGACTGCCTCTCTAGGTGAGAGCTTGAGAAGACAGATACAGAAGGGATGGGGTAGGCTAAAGTTTACATCTGTGGTCTGTAGAATCAATCAGGATGAAGTTCACCTTTGCAATTTAAAAATTTTCATAAGTAGTGACAAGTTGCTTAACCTTTCCAAGCCTCATTTTTAAAAATCTGTAAATATGGGCTCAGGGTACGACTTGTCTCATAGGCTTGGTGCAGAGATGTCAAAAAATCATACACATCATATGTTATCTCAGGGTTGACTCAGAAAGTAGTAGCTGTTTTGCTCTAAAAGACACTAATTTTAATCTACAAAGTGGCCTGTTGAACCTCACAGCCTCAGTGGTCAACACAAGCCTTTGTGAATCCAGTGCCCAGTGCCTAGCCCTTTAGGAAAAAATAACTCGCTAACAACCAATGGGAATGGATGCTTTGGTAGCTTTTTCTGGAGCTGGGGTTACATGAGGAAAGTAACATAGTTTGACTATTTGACATTTACCAATCTTGCGTTTTAAAGGAGGGAAGAGCTGTCATTGGTATTTACATGGGGCTAGGAGCTGACCTGGATGAGGCCTGACTTCCAGACTTACCTGAAGCCAATCCAAACTCCTTGAATCTCAAAGGCCTGAACAATATCACTCCAACAGGCCCCCTGGCGTGACTCCCGGCACGTCTGCTGCCGGATGGACTGGAGACCAGATGCCTGCAAATATGTCTGCCTCTTTAGGCATGAGCAGGAGGTTAAGAATGTCCTATGGGACACAGGTCCCTGAATAGAGATTCTGTTTTATATTATATTTAAGGGTGCCCTTCCTAAGTCCCAGATCAAGCTTTTTCGACAACACTATGGAGTAGATGCTATTATTAACCCACTTTATCAATGGGGAAACTGAGGCTCAGAAAGGTTCCAAACAAAAACTGCCAGTGGTTCTTGAACCCCAGCCTGGTCTGCAGATTCTATACGTGTGCATTTCACCACTACTCTATACCGTCTTGGTTACCTTTGCTCATCTGCTACAATCTCAAAATTTCATTTTCCACTGAAGATCTGTCTTTGAGACTGGGTCAAACATGCTGATTAAGAGCTCACCAGGTTTGAATTCGGGAGCTCTAATCGATTAAATTAATGCCAGACCAAAAGACAGGCAGGAAGAAGTTAAAAAGGATCATGGTGCTTTTTAGGTTCAATATTTACAGCAGCATCCTTATAAATGCATCCCTGAAGGATGCGGCAGGGAGGCTTTGAATGCACGGTTCACAAACCTCTTAGGTTATGACTTGACTTTCATGGACTGTTTGTTGGATCCTTGGATGAGCTTAAAATCAACTTGGAGTGGCCACTGGGGAAGCTGGAGTTGGGGGCTGATCCACTGTAGTAATACTCACAGTTGACGACACTTGGCAGCTGTGTGCCCAGGGGCAAGTTGTTTTACCTTTCTGGGCCTCAACTATCTTTTGTGCAAAATGAGGATAACAATAGCACCTGCTTGATACGGTTGTGATGAGGGGAAATGAGATCATCCACAGAAAGCACCTAGAACAGTGTCTGGCACCTACAAGTGCTCAATGAACATGTGCTTGCCACAGGCCTGCCCTTGTGAAGCTCATACGGTTGCAAGCAGGTTGGACATTATACAAGTAATTATAAATTGCTTAATTGAAATTGTGAAGCCTGGCACTGTGGCTCACACCTGTAATCTCAGCATTTTGGGAGGCTGAGGCTGGAGGATTGCTTGAGTCCAAGAGTTGGGACTAGCCTGGGCAACATAGTAAGACTCCATCTCTACAAAAAATAAAAAATTAGTCTGGCATGTTGGCACATGCCAGTGGTCCTAGCCAACCCAGGAGGCTGAGATGGGAGGATTGCTTGAGCCCAGGAGTTCGAGGCTGCAGTGAGCTGTGATTGCACCACTGCACTCCAGCCTGTGTGACAGAGAGAGACCCTGTCTCAAAAAATAAATAAATAAAATAAAATAAATGATTGAATGCTATAAAGGAGATATGCAAAGTGTTAAGGAATATCAAACTGGAGTGTCAGTCTAGGGTAGGCAATCAGGGAAGCATTGAGGCTGAGATCAGAGGAGACTGAGTGCTGGATAGGAGAAGGGGGAGGTGTGAGGGTATCCACACATAGAGGAAAGCATGCATGAAGCCCCTTGGCTGAGGGAGAGCCTGCCCCCTGGGGAGTGAACAGAAGGCTGAGATGTTGGCACTCAAGGCAAGGGCAAAGTGGTGGGGGATGAGGGCTAGAGGGGAAGGCAGGGACCAGTGAGATGCCAGCCTGTATAAGCCATTTTAATGAAAGATGTCAGATTTTATCCTACCACCAGTGCACGTCCATTGGAGGGATTTAAATTTGTGAGTAACATGCCTAAGTTCTTTATTTGGAAGCAGTCACTGTGCTATGATAGCACAGGACTATTTAGTTGGCACCAGAGACCCATTGAAAGGCTGTCATGGGGTCTGAAACAGGAGATGGTGGCTCCGACCAGGGTGTGGGGAGAAGCTGGAGATGTGGGTGGAATCAGGCCTTAGTGGCTGGTTGGCGATAACAAGGTGAAGAATTACCCCACTTCTTTGTGGATTTGGAAACCAACACTGAGGAACTTACCCAAAGTCACTCAGCTCGTGAGTGGCCCAGCTTGAGATGTATACTGAGGCCTGTGGGCTCAGGGTGAATGGGGTATGCACCCTGGAGAAATCCTTTCACCTTTCCAGAAACTCTGCCCTTCTCACCTCCCTCCACCCCCAAAAGGGAGCTCCCAGTGACAGGGAACATTCCAACCGAGGGCTCTCTGTCCTGCCTAGGAGACAACAAATAGCAATTCATCATCAGCCTCCACACTGTAAAGTGATAAGGAATCAGCCGAGGTTTCCTTCCAGTTGGGATTCTCATTAAGTGATAACTCCATGGGTGGTTTTCCCCCTGGCCCCTGCCTGCCCCACTATCTGACTTCCCCTCATTGTCTGTCTCCTTTCCAATGAGCCCAGGAGTCAGGCCCAATGAAATGTCACAGGGCCAGGCAGGCCGGAGGGCTCCTTGTGTTTGGAACCGGCTGTCTCCAAACTATCTCTCCCGATGGACTGAGCCAAAAAAGCTGGGAAGGTCTTTTATCAATGCCACTCAATCAAATCCAGGACCCCAGGGCCTGGGAGAGCACTTGTCTGTCTTTCTCCCTCTCACCCCTGACTCTCACCCCCACTCGCATTAGAAACTAAAAGCAACCCAAATAAAGATTCTAGCAAAGCCATGAGCTGAATCAGATATTCAAAGGAAAGTTAGAGATTGAGAGGGGAAGGGGAATTCGATATGGAAAAGGGCTTTGCAGGGTGCATTTTCTGAGTGCTATGTTTTAAAATGCGATTTCACATCCATTCCTTTGCTGATTCTCCAGTTCCCTGCAGCAGTCTTTGGACTAGGGGAGATGCCACCCATCTCTATTTTGCAGGGATCTAATGGAGGACCAAGAGACAGGGTTAGATTTTAAGCTTATGTGGCTGATGATTGGCAGATCTGGGATGGATGCATCAGATTAATCTTTATTTATTGAGCACTTAATGTATAATGGACACTGTGCTAGGTGCTTGGGATAAGTGGAGGACATGGTGGAAAAGGCTCCCGCTCTCAAGAAACTTGAATTCTTACTGGATGAGACATATAATAAGCCAGTAAGTAAATTTATTGGTTTCAGGTAGTGACTAGGTGATGTTTCAAACTGAGTCTTTTGATTTCTCGTTGAGAATCTTCGCACAATACCATTCCAACCCTTCCTACTTTATGCTAAGAGCATGGGGACACCAAAAACAAATAACAACAACAACAAAAACAACAACAACAAAAAGTCATCCACCCACTCATCCACCCACCCACCAATCCATCCACCCACCATTCACCCATCCACCCACCCATCCACCCACTCACTCATTCATCCATCCACCCATCCATCACTCATCTATCTATCCACTCACTCATCCATCCACCCACTCATCCATCTACCCACTCATCCATCCAGCCATCACCCCACCTATCCACTTATCCATCCACCCACTTATCCATCCCCCCACCCATCTATCAACCCATCCATCCACCTACCCAACCACTCACTCATCCATCAACCCACCCATCCATTCACCCATCTACCCACCCACCCATCCATGCATCCATCCACCCATCCAACCACCCATCCATCCACCCACTCATCCACCAATCCTCCCACTCATTCATTCATCCATCCATCCACCCACCCACCCACCCATACATCTATCCTCCCATCCATCCATCTACTCATCCACCCACTCATCCATAAGAGTCAAGGTTTGCTACCTTTTCATGTTGGCTGAGCATGTAGGGTTGCGTGAAATGGAAAGCCTGGGGCCATCTGTCAGAATGAGCACTGCTTTGTGAGTCAGAAGACCTGAATTATAGCCACCTTCCCAACTTGCTGAAGGTCACTCAGCTAGAAAGATTACTACTCTGAGTTTCAGGGTCTCTGTCTGGGAAGACTCGCCAATGGTTCTTCATCTGAATGAACTGAATTGGCAAGAGAAATGACCCATTTGGGAATAGTGAAAATATTTGCTCAATAGGATTAGTATTTAAAAGCACTCTGTGAGCTTTCCAGCTCTGTAATCTACCCAAATACTATTAAGTATGGGACAACTTTCAGAAAGCTATCTATCCAGTCTTCCAAAAGAGAAAGAGGGAAAAGAGAATGGACCCAGGTCATTTGGACAGACAAGATTTGAATGCTTTATGTGCAAGGAAGATAAAAACTCAACTGCCCTCATTATTACCTCAATTAAATCTCATAAAAAGTTCAGGTATTATCTCCATTTACAATCAAGAACTGAGATTGGAATGACCTGGTGATTCATCCAGTCACATGGCGAGCGAGCATTGGAGCTGTAACTCTGTGCCTTAATATCTGTGCCTTGGATGCATTACTAAATTCACTTTATCCGGAATCAAAAATATCTAGAAAAATCCAAAGTACTAGGGTTTTCTACAGTGCCATGCCATAATGAGTGGTCAGAATCAGGAAGAATTTACTGTTACCTAAGAGACTCATTTCGGTTTAGGATAGTTGCAATATAACTGACCACTCTTAATATGCAACTTTCTGAAGCCGAGTTGTGGACTCATCTCATCAGAAGACTTGATACTTAAGTATAGCCCATTTACCAACCCTGAAAGTTAATCATGACTTGGCTGGAGATAGGTCTTTGCTGTTGAACAGTTATTGGGCTCTCAAAGAAGAGAAAAAAGAAAGAAACTGAGCCATAACCAAAATAAACACAGAGATTACATCCAGAGCATTTATCATGACTGACCTGAAATTTGGATCCTTGAGTTGGAATTTCTTTACAATGTGATGAGGCCTGAGAGGAATTTGAGAATGTTCAGGACCTGCTTTCATCAATAAGCCAAGATTGAGTTTTTCTTAGTGCTCTGCATTAGATCTTTGGGGTATTAAAGACTGGAATGTATAATTTTACGATTTTCCAAAATGTGTTCCGGCCGTTTTCTTATTATTCTTCCTTTTTTACTTGTAACAAATCTGGAAGGGGATCAGAAACTTGAAAATAGTTAGTTTGCCTTGTTTTTTTTTCCTCTTGCTAAGGGTGCCCTGCAGCTGTACTTTCTATTATTGAAAAGGGTAACACCCTGGTTAATTGGAAAACCCAAAGGTTATGATTCCAGCAACAATGGAAACACTCAGGTTTATGAATCTGGGGGAAGGAAGGAAGAATTGAAGGAAAGGAATCAAGGGAGGAGGTGGTGAGGACAAAAAGAAGCTGAGTATAGCAATGTCTTCAAGCCTCCAAACAAACAAACAAACAAACAAACAAACAAAAAAAACCCCGCACAGTTAAAAGGTGAAAAATGTGGCCGTTCATTCATCTGGATGTTTTCAAACATCTGCATGGTTGGCATGATGTAGATAGAACACCTGGAAGAGTGTGTTTTTCTTTTTTTTTTATTTTTGGTACAAATTTTTTTGGTATCCTATAAGTCCCATATGTGGCCCAGAAAGAGTCTAGTGGAAATAAGTTTACTTGCTGTTAAGTGGGCACAACCCTAAGAGATATGTTTTGTTTGTGGATACTTTTGGCTTATCTGTGGGTGTCACTTGGACATTGATACAAATGGAGCTGATTGGTGGAATCCAAACCCAAGCTACTCTACCTGGGTTTGGGAGCTATTTTACAAACCAGTCCAAAGCCAAAGGATTTAGTCTTGAGTCAATGGCTTACTTGTGTCTTTATATCTGAGGACCACCTCTCAGTCACAGAGTGTCAGCCTCCCTCACTTACTGCTCATGGTAGGATAGACTGGGATTGAGGACATGCACCAAAAACGGGATCATGTTCACCACTCTATCTCCAGCACCTGGCACAATACCTAGCACTTTGGAGCAGCTCAGTAATTATCTGCTGTATGATTGCATGAGTGGCACTGGGTATTAGAAATCTAGAGAGTTGGAAGCAAGGTGTGTAGGCAAAGTCAATCCAATCTGGCTTAGATTCCAGCCTCTGTTCCTTCTCAGCCATGTGACCTTGGGCAAGTCACTTCTCTGAGCTTTAGTTTCTGCCTTTATGAGACAGGCATTACAGCAGACACCTTGAGGAATTACTGTGAGATGAAGAGTAAGGTCATGTAGTAGGTACTCAATAAATAATAGCTCTGATCATTTCCTCTCGTTATTTAGTTCAGCATTCTGTTTTCATGGCCATGAGCCATCACAGTGAGTTGCATGGATGCCCCAGTGTTTCATTTTTCTTCACTTCTCCAAAGACAGACATAATTTCTTAACATTTATTGACTAGAAAGAGACAGAAAGATGAGGAAAGAGAATTTTCAGTTTGGAAGGTAAAATTTCAGATAAGTAATGAGTCTGTGTTGAGGTTTATACTTTGGTAGATATCCCCAAGTATTGCTTCCCCTGAAGGGAATACTTTGAGGGTATTATTGTGAATTATGTCTGCCATGAGCCTGACTGGTGGTGTTAGCCCTGCAACAAGAGCTGTTCATGTTGACGGAAATCAGGAGACTTTACATGCTCAATCTTAGTTCTTAGCTACCCAGTAAGGTAAGTATTACTCACTTTGATTCAGAGATGATGATGAGTCTCTGAGCGTAGATGCCCTGCTGGTATCACGCAGATATTAAGTAAAGGAGCCTGATTCAAATCCAGACATGTCTAGGCTTCTTAACCTGGGGTCTGGGTTTTAGGGAGTCTTTGAACCCCCTGAAATTGTATGCAAAGCCTTGTATGCACATGCAGTTTTCAAAACATTGTGTTTCAATGCAGTTTTCTAGGAAAGAGCCCAGCACTTTTTCTTGTTTTCAAAGGGGCCAGTGGCCCCGAAGTGGTGAAAGGAGACCCCCTTTCAGAGACAAAACTATCTCCACTTCCCTACACTAGGAAATGACTAGTACACAGGGAAGGGAAGGGACTTGCTCAGCAGGAAACAGCAACACATTAACTTGTACCAACTTAACAAATACTAACTAGGCACATGCTTACATAAGGAATCAGGAAAGAATTTGAACATTCATTCAAGCTCCCTCCCACTCATCCATGCATCCATGCATCCATGCATCCATCCATCCATCCATCCATCCATCCATCCATCCATCGTACAAATATTTATTGCATGCTTTCTCTATGTATCAAGACAGTGAAAAACAAGGGCTTTGTGGTCAGACTACTTGGATTCTAATCCTGGCTCTACTGTTTATCAGCCATGTGAAACCTTGGGCAAGTTTCTTAACCTCCGTGAGTCCTTTTTCTCTCATCTGTAAGATGAGGATAATAGTAAAACCCACCTGGTAGGGTTGTTGTGATTAAATGTGTTACTTCCTGGAGAGTGCTTAGAATCGTGCTACGCAGAGTACACACTGTATATGTTTGTTTTGACTTATTGTTGATGCTGTTGTTAATAGTAGGTGTTTACTAGGTTCTGGGAATATAGTCATGGATAAGGCAGAAAATGTCCTGCTTTTATGAAATTTACATGCTGGAGAAGAGGAAAGATAATAATAATTGCTATTTATTTATTTTTGAGATGGGGGGTCTCACTATGTTGCCCAGGCTGGTCTCAAACTCCTGGGCTCAAGTGATCCTTTTTCCTTGGCCTCCCGAGCAGCTGGAACTATAGGCGTGCACAACTGCACCTGGTTAGTTGCTATTTATTGAGTGTTTCTGGGCTCTGGACTAAGTGCTTCATGTATTTTCCCATTTAATTCTCAACACTGCCCTTTGTAGGAAGTGCTATTTCCTACCCTTTCCATCTTACAGATGAAGAAGCTGAACCCAGAAAGGTCAAACTGTTTGCATAGAACTCCATAGCCCAAGGTCTTAACCATTACAATCCAACCCCCTTTTTTTGTATTCAGAATGGCGGTTAGGGCTAACAGTCTCTCAGGACTTATTCTTCAGTACTTTGGCCAAATAACTGTCTCCACTTTTAGCTGCCTGGTGCCTGCTCCTGGCCTCACTGCTGTCTCTCCTGTCTTCACAGAGGAAGAATGTTCCACCACAGACCATCCCTATAAGAAGCCCTACATGGAGACATCACCCAGTGAAGAAGATTCCTTCTACCGCTCTAGCTATCCACAGCAGCAGGGCCTGGGTGCCTCCTACAGGACAGAGTCGGCACAGCGGCAAGCTTGCATGTATGCCAGCTCTGCGCCCCCCAGCGAGCCTGTGCCCAGCCTAGAGGACATCAGCTGCAACACGTGGCCAAGCATGCCTTCCTACAGCAGCTGCACCGTCACCACCGTGCAGCCCATGGACAGGCTACCCTACCAGCACTTCTCCGCTCACTTCACCTCGGGGCCCCTGGTCCCTCGGCTGGCTGGCATGGCCAACCATGGCTCCCCACAGCTGGGAGAGGGAATGTTCCAGCACCAGACCTCCGTGGCCCACCAGCCTGTGGTCAGGCAGTGTGGGCCTCAGACTGGCCTGCAGTCCCCTGGCACCCTTCAGCCCCCTGAGTTCCTCTACTCTCATGGCGTGCCAAGGACTCTATCCCCTCATCAGTACCACTCTGTGCACGGAGTTGGCATGGTGCCAGAGTGGAGCGACAATAGCTAAAGTGAGGCCTGCTTCACAACAGACATTTCCTAGAGAAAGAGAGAGAGAGAGGAGAAAGAGAGAGAAGGAGAGAGACAGTAGCCAAGAGAACCCCACGGACAAGATTTTTCATTTCACCCAATGTTCACATCTGCACTCAAGGTCGCTGGATGCTGATCTAATCAGTAGCTTGAAACCACAATTTTAAAAATGTGACTTTCTTGTTTTGTCTCAAAACTTAAAAAAACAAACACAAAAAGATGAGTCCCACCCCCCACTACCACCACACCCATCAACCAGCCACATTCACGCTACTCCCCAGATCTCTTCCCCCATTCCTTCTTTTGGGCTCTAGAAAGTCTTGCCTCATTGAGTGTTTTTCCCTAGTGCGTAGTTGGAGTCTGTCCCTGTCTTGGTGTTAATGTTGACATTGTTATATAATAAATGATAATATATTTTTTTCTTTCAATTTTCTTAATGGGACCCAGTCCCTTATTTGGGGGGAGGTCTGAGGCAAGTATATTTCAAAATATGTACTTGCGGGATTCCCTTCAAGTAAACCATCCCTGAAACCTAAATTCACGTTTCCCCTTGACTAAGAAAAGCACCTACCTCTGCCATGTGATGTTTCTGAAAAGCCTCTGTATGTCCCCATTTGCTTTGGTTTTGTCCTGCCTTCTCCAATATCACGTGCTCAGTTTTGCCTCTACTTACCCATGGAGTCAGGATAACACTGACGCTCCCTGGCATCCTATCTTATTCAGCCCTACCATCTTGCCAGCTCTGTCTTTCCAGCTGTCTGTCGCTAAAACGTGGCCTATAGCTTCCCTTCCGGAAAGCTTGCTTTGAAAAACTTAAAAAGCCCCCGTTTACATGTAGGCAGGACTGTGATAACAGTGCAAGCTCTGTGTTGACAAGAGTTGTGGACAAAAAGCCAAAATAAATATTCTTCCTGATTAAAAAAATTTTTTTTGAAAAAAACAAGGCCAGCCCCAACCTTCCAAACCTCCATCACCAACAACCCAAACTGGATGTCAAGCAAAATGCACAATTCCTACAGAAGAGGCAAGACACAGTCACCAATGATATCTCGCCAAAGAAACCACGCCCACACCAATGCCAACACAAAACTGTGTTTACTGAAAGCCGAAAACAGTATTAAAAAAAGTGTGTAAGTAAAGTGTTATGGTAGGGTTCTTCAGATGTAATATTTTACTGGTACTATTTATTTATAAATAGGAATTCTAATTAAGTAATAACATGAAATGAAACCCAGCATAGGAGCTGGCCAAGAGCTTTTAATTTTATTGATACTCAAAACCAAGTTTGTGTTTTTTTGTTTTTTTTTGTTTTTTTCCTCTTTCGAATGTGCTTTGCTTTTTTTGATTAAAAAGAATTTTTTTTTTCCTTTTTTATAAACAGACCCTAATAAAGAGAACAGGGTAAGATGTGAGGCTGAGTGTGTTTAAGTACGTGAGAGAGTGTGAGTGTGTTTGTAAGTGAGTGTCCCTATGCGATTATGTCTCTTTACGTTGCTAAGGGGGGAGGGTGAGGATTAAGTACTCGTGCCTTATATTTGTGTGCCAATTAATGCCTAATAAATACCATGTGCTTAAACAAGTACAAGGAAGTTGAACACCCATTTTTTTTTTTTCCTGTTCTTTCTACCGACTGAATAGAGGGGATAGGAATTGGAGGAAACAGGAAGAGGTTGTCTTGCATGTGAATTTCTCACCTCACGTGATTTCTCATGCCCATCGCAGGAGAATTTGGGATCCATTGTCCTTGAGTGTGATGAAGCTGAATATATGATCCACTGGTTTATATCCTTGGAATGAGGTTACTTGTTTTAATGGAATTTGTGTAGGCACTGGAGAAGAAAAGTCTTTAGGAATTCCAACCTATTTAAAATGGTATCGGTCATATTATATGTAACACCTAATGTTTGGGTTTTTCAAGAATCTCTTTCTCTGAATTAATTGTTGGAGCCAGGCGTTTTGGGGGTTCTACTGCAAATAACTTTATGAACCATCAGTGAATCAGATATTGATTTTAAATCCATGGATCTAGGATTTGTGAACTTGAGCTCTAAAACACATATGGGACAGAAGAGAGCAGCAAATTGGTGAGTACATTTGTGCAGCAGATTTGTTCTGTTTTTGTAATTTTGATGCCCGCATCCCTCAAATTATCAAGAGCTATCAAATATGCCACATCCCCTTGAAAAAGAAACAATTGGCTTGTTGATTACAAGTTATTCATTTAATCAGGTCCCCTGGGACCTTTCCCAGGCAAAGAAGCCCTGAGAAGTGTGAATTAATTATAAAGAAATGACAATTCAGCTTCTTTCAAGTGCAATGGAGAAACTAGGTCAATGGCTTTCCTGTTCCCCCAAAGGACTGCATTAGTAAAGTTTCACTGAACAGGTTCTGACTGTGCTCCAAATAGATATTTATTCTGATGGGTTCAGTTTAAAAAAAAAAAAAGTTGCCTTTGAAGACATTGCCTTTGAAACTAATTTTATCAACTCTATACAACAGTCAGTCTTATGCTTTCAGAGGAACATCATCCAAATTAGGAATCTGCATCCCCACCCCACCACTCAAACAGTTGCCACCATTGGAAAATCATTAAAAATATGTTCACAGCAAGTTTCACAAATCAGACAAGGGACACTGTCATTTCATAACCAATACAGGTTAACCTCTTTGGGTTCTAAATGATTGTTATAGTGGATCTTTTCACTGAATCAGTAGGATTAAGGATGCAATGTCCAAGAGTTAATGTAGTTTCATCATGGTGTTGATAAAACCATGGCAAGGCACACAATGCACATTGTTACAGTCCTATAATGTATTTGGTGGGTGCTTGCTTTAGACTGGACATGTGGTAAGTACCGGCGACACAGCAGTGAACAAAAAGAGAGGGGCTGTGTCCTTTGGAACTTATGATTTAGTGAGAGAGAGAAATAGCCCTTAGGAAATTATGTGCATCCTCAGTGGATTGCAGTGGTGGAAATTACTACAAAGACAGAGTGCCCAATGGCATAAAGGGATAAGGCAAGGGGTCCTAACCCCATCTGGGGGAGGTGACTCTTGAGCACAGCCCTAATGATGAGTAGGAATTAATCAGGTAAAAGTTTGGGAGGAAAAGTATTGCAGAGAGAGGGAACAGCTTGTGCAAAGTCCTGAGGCAGAAATTGTGATGGAGGAATGAGATGTAGGTTTGTAAGTGGGTAGTAATCACCTAGTTCACATGCCTTCATTCAGTAAACAGGTAGGAAGGTTCTACTATGTGCGGTCGATATCTTTACTCATACAGGACCTACTAATTGTGATAGGCTCCTTTCCAGGTAATTTCTAAAGTTGCAGAGGACAGACTCTGGATGTGTGAGATGGTAGGTTTTTTTGTACTCAGGAATATTACAGCATCCGCCTGGCTTCCTGGTCCTCTACAGTTTAGGACCCAAGCTTATAGGACAGAAGAAACACAAGAACTTTCAAGAGGGTCAGCTCATTAGTATTCTTGAGCTCAGAGAGGTTGAAAATTCCCCCCCCAGATTACACAGCTGGTGTGTGGCAGGGCTTACCGTGAAACCTAAGTTAGCCCAAGCCTTAAGTTTCCTCCTCTATAAAAAGGAGATAATTGGCTGGGTTTGGTGGCTCATGCCTGTAATTCCAACACTTCGGGAGGCCAAGGACGGAGGATTGCTGAAGCCCAGGAATAAGCCTGGGCAATATAGCAAGACCCCTGTCTCTACAAAAAAAAAAAAAAAAAACAGAGAAGATATTCTACATGCTTCAAAGAACTGTTGTGCATGTAGGTGAGATAATATCTGTGAAAGTTTCCAGCAAAGTATGTAACACAGCAGATGTTCAGTAAATGCTTGAAAGACTTTATTTATTTATTTATGGTTTTTTTTGAGACGGAGTTTTGCTCTTGTTGCCCAGGCTGGAGTGTAGTGGCGCAATCTCGGCTCACCACAACCTCTGCCTCCTGGGTTCAAGTGATTCTCCTGCCTCAGCCTTCCGAGTAGCTGGGATTACAGGCATGCGCCACCACACCCGGCTAATTTTGTATTTTTAGTAGAAATGGGGTTTCTCCATGTTGGTCAGGCTGGTTTCGAACTCCCGACCTCAGGTGATCCACCCACCTTGGCCTCCCAAAGTGCTGGGATTACAGGCGTGAGCCACTGCACCAGGCCGAAAGACTTTAATCAATGGAATTCAAGTTAAATATAATTTTTTAAATCATTGACTTGGCAAATGTATATTTAAAAAATAATATTACCTATTGCTAATGAGAAAGTAGAAAATCTCATAAACTAATGGTTGGGAATACAAACTAGATAAACCTTTGGGAGGGGAGAGTTTGCAAAATGTATCAAAAGTCTTAATGTGCAAATCATTTAGTCTGATAATTCTGCTTTGAGGCATTGGTCGGAAGGAAATAATCAGAGATGTATATAAACATTTATTTTCTGGGAAGTCTATCATGATTTTTTAAAATCATGCAAAATAGGAAACAGCCTTAATATCCAATAATATGGAGTTGGTTAAATAAATTAGTGCATGATGAAATACCACATGGCCATTAAGAAACACATTTGTGGGCCAGGTGTGGTGGCTCATGCCTGTAATCCCAGCACTTTGCAAGGCCGAGGCAGGCAGATCACCTGAGGTCAGGAGTCCACGACCAGCCTGGCCAACATGGTGAAACTCCATCTCTACTAAAAACACAATAATTAGCTGGGCGTGGTGGTGCACGCCTGTAATCCCAGCTACTCGGGAGGCAGAGGTTGCAGTGAGCCAAGATCATGCCACTACACTCCAGCTGGGATGACAGAGTGAGACTCCGTCTCAAGAAAATAAAAAAAGAAGAAACACATTTGTGGAGAAGATGTTTAAAATTCACTGCAAGCTAAAGAAGCTTCAAGTAGCTTGCACAGCAGCTTCTCAATTTGATTAAACACACCAGCATACATTCACACTTGAAAGGAAACAAAAGCACTCTTAGGATGTATAACAATAACAGTGATGGGATTGTGGGTGTTCAAATTTTCTTTGTTCTTTTGGGATGTCCCAGTTTTCCTCATGATGAAGATGAATTATCTTTGTAACTAGAAGTAGAATTAGTAAATAAAATCTAGCTTGTTGTTTGTTCATTGAAATGAGTCTGTGAGAAAAATGGGACACTCCTGTCTACCTTGAGGAGGAAGGGATGAAGCTCCTGTAATGAGATACATTGGCCCCATCAGTGACAGAGCTGGGTACTGGTACTGATCAGCCGACTGCTCATCATGGAATGCTCCATATTCAACTCAAAAACAAGGTGATGGCTGGATACTTCTCTTTGTCTTCACTTTCTGAGATTGCTACTTGTGTGCTTTCTTTTCTTTTTTTTTTTAATTTTATTATTATTATACTTTAAGTTTTGGGGTACATGTACTTTCTTGGTCCTCTTGGGAGGTTAGGCTATGGTCCTGGGATGAGCTATTATTCCCTTTTAATAAACACAACACACGTATTGAATCAGGCACTCATTTATCTCACCTTTGTTCTCTAATTGAACTGGGTTATAAAATTCACTCTGTCATTTACTGCCTTTGTGACCTTGGGCAAGTCTCTTAACCTCTTTGACCTTCCATTTGATCATATGTAAAATGGGGTTACTACAAGTATTTATCCCAGAGATTCCTCGTTTGTCTGAGGATTCAGTGAGACAATGAGCATAAAGTGCTTAGCACAGAGCCTGGTGTATTAGTCTGTTCTCAGCTGCTAATAAAGACATACCTGAGACTGGGTAATTTATAAAGAAAAAGAGGTTTGATGGACTCACAGTTCCACATGGCTGGGGAGGCCTCACAATCATGGTGAAAGGTGGAGCAAAAGCCCGTCTTACATGGTGGGAGTACAGGGAGCTTGTGTAGGGGAACTGCCCTTTATAAAACCATCAGATCTTGTGAGACTTATTCACTATCACGAGAACAGCATGGGAAAGACCCACCCCCATGATTCAATTATCTCCCACTGGGTCCCTCCCAGGACACGTGGGGATTATGGGAGCTACAATTCAAGATGAGATTGGGGTGGGGACACAGCCAAACCATATCAGCTGGTATAGAGAAAATGCGCAACAGCTGTTAGCTCATGAAAACATTAACTAGGATTTATAATTTTTTTTTTTTTTTTTGGAGATGGAATTTTGCTCTTCTTGCCCAGCCTGGAGTGCAATGGTGCGATCTCGGCTCACTGAAACCCACGCCTCCCGTGTTCAAGCAATTCTCCTGCCTCAGCCTCCTGAGTAGCTGGGATTATAGGCATGTGCCACCACGCCCAGTTAATTTTGTATTTTTAGTAGAGACAGGGTTTCTCCATGTTGGTCAGGCTGGTCTCAAACTCCTGACCTCAGGTGATCCACTAGCCTTGGCCTCTCAAAGTCCTTGGATTACAGGCGTGAGTCACCATGCCCAGCCGGATTTATAATTATTAATGCTGCTGCTTCTTGTCTTTCTCCTCTTTCTTCTCTGTTGGAAAATTTGCCCCTATAGTCTTCTACTATTTTTATAATACACCTAAGCTCAGTAGAGGCTAGAAAACATCACCATCAACATCCTCACCACCACTGCCACCACCACTACCATCATCAGTATCATCACTTTCAACAATAATTAAAACATAGCTTTCCCACAGGCATCATCTTAAATCTTATTTAAATATCTGACTTTAGGCCAGGTGCAGTGGCTAATGGCCCACACCTATAATCTCAGCACTTTGGGAGGCTGAGGCAAGAGGATAGCTTGAGGCCAGGAGTTCAAGACCAGCCTGGGCAACATAGCGAAACCTCATCTCTATAAAAAATTTTAAATTAGCCAGGCATGGTGGTATGCACCTGTAGTCCTAGCTATTTGGAAGGCTGAGGCAGGAGGATTGCTTGAGTCCAAGAGTTGCAAGTTCCAGTGAGCTATGACTGAGCCACTGCACTCCAGCCTGAGTGACAGAGGGAGACCCTCTCTCTCTAAAAATAATAAAATAAAATAAATAGCTGCTTTTGTAAGTGACTGTCAACTTTGGACCTTGGTGGCCACAAAGAAGGAAGAGTAGGTTTTATGTCTCTAAAGACTGATTATCAGCACCTCACCTTTTCTTTTCTGACTTCAACTTCAGAACTCCTTTTTTTTTTTTTTTTTAGAGATGGGATCTTGCTTTGTTGCCCATGCTGCTGGAGTGCAGTGCCAACTCACTGCAGCCTCAGCCTCCTGAGCTCTCAAGTGATCCTCTCACTTTAGCCTCTCGCATAGCTGAGACTATAGGTGCGCACTACCATACCTGGCTAATTATTATTATTATTTTTTTAAGAGGTGAGTTCTCACTATATTGCCTAGGCTGGTCTTGAACTCCTGGCCTCAAGCAATCTGCCTGCCTCAGCCTCCTGAGTCACTGGGATTACAGGCAGAAGCCCACTCGCCTGGCCAGAATTCATTATTATTCCACTTAGAAAGAAGTCATGCATGTTAATCCTAGTGAATATGTTGGTTTAGGCATACTTGGTTCCAGTTCCTGAAACTGTGAGTGTTGGGGTGGAGGAGACAGCCTGGTGTGCAAGTTGAAGATTGTTCCTGGCAGAGTTTTGATATTTTACTGATGTCCCTCCAGTGTTGATAATAGTAGTGGCAATAGCAATAATAGCTTTCATTTATGTACCATGTGCTAGTCCCTATACCAAGCAACATGGTGATTGTCCAGTGTTACCCAGCTCATGGTGGCTTGTCTTCCATTCCACGCTGCCAAGACTCCTTTAGGGGATGGAATGATTCATGTCATCTCTGTCCTTTCCCATGGGCCTAAGAGAGGGAGGGACAGAGGGAGATGGTGGCTGGAGTGTGACAGAGCAGTGCTTTTGGGTGGCATGTCCTTGGAGATGTCAACGTCAGGACAAGTAAAGGAGGATTTGTAATCTTGTGGCTAAAGACTGCCTTCCTGGTCTTGGAAGCCCAGCTAGCCCTCTAGTGTGTGAGCAAATTATTCACTTGCCCCAAACCTCAGTTTCCATCTCTGCAAAGTGGAAGTGGTAAGATCCACTTTGCAGGCCTGAGGTAGTGATAAAAGGAGAGAGTTTATGTAAAGCAATCAGCAGGGCATCTGGCCCTCTCTACACATTTAATAACAGAGGCTTAAAAACTATAACTTCCCTCAGGAAGACTTTGCCATCCTCATGACACAACCTCATGACATAACGAATTAGGAGAATCTTCTCTCTTTTGTTTTTTTTTTAAACATTAATCACAGTTAACATTCCTTCCTTCCTTCCTGCCTGCCTGCCTGCCTACCTTTCTTCCTTCCTTCCTTTTCTTTTTTTTCTTTTTTTTGTAGAGATGGAGTATCATCATGTTGCCCAGTCTGGTCTTGAACTCCTGAGCTCAAGTGATCCTCCCACCTCGGCCTCTCAAAGTACTGGGATCTTCTCATTTATTGAACTGTAGATATTTTCCTGGGACCAAGAGAGCTTCATGGAGGCAGGATTGATCCAGTATTAATTGCTTGTATTTTCACCCTGGAAGGTGTTCACTATGATCTGAATAAATGGATTAAGAATGACTCACCAGATGTGCTCATTGGAGGACAGGGTTCTACATGTCGAGGTTGCTGTAGCAGAGGATTCCTGTGCTATGTCTTGCATCCTCTCTGCCCACCTCTAATTTCAGACATAGGGCAGAAGGCTCAGTGCATGCTGACAGCATCCCACCTTGAGCTCCACCACAAATCTGTTTTTCTGCAGCAGGGCTATCTCTAAAGATGAGAGGCTCCCTCGGCCTGAATGCAGGCACAGCCCAGAAATAATGACTCTGGGAACACTCTCTGTAGAGTGGGTGGGGAGTTGGTGGATAGAGGCCTCAGCCTCCTGTCCTTTGGAGGGACAGTTTGGAGGTACATTCTACACAATTCCTCAGAGGGTCCTCAGAGGCCTGCACTCTGGTTGCACACAGTGGTAATCAGCTCAATAACTCAATCACTTGGCTTTTTCTCCTTTCATCCTTCTTCCTCCCCGAGATCACCTTCCAAGTCCTCCCAAATCCTGCCCTCAGGGTGAGCCCAAACTAAGGCAGGGTCTTACCAGCTCTTACTAGGCCTTCCTTGACCAGCCTCATTGTATTCTCTCCCTTTTTCTTAAGCTTTCTTTCTTTTCTTTTCTTTTTTTTTTTTTGAGACACCCAGCCTGGAGTGCAGTGGCCCAATCTTGGCTCACTGCAACCTCCGCCTCCCAGGTTCAAGCGATTCTCATGCTTCAGCTTCCCAAGTAGCTGGGATTACAGGTACGCGCCACCATGCCTGGCTAATTTTTTTGTGTGTTTTTAGTAGAGACGGGGTTTCGCCATGTTGCCCAGGCTGGTCTCAAACTCCTAGCCTCCAGTGATCCACCTGCCTCTGCTTCCCAAAGTGGTGGGATTACAGGTGCGAGCCACCGTGCCCAGCCTCTCTTAAACTTTTTATTTTGAAATAAGTGTAGATTCACATGCAGTTGTAAGAAAACACAGAGAAATCCCATATACCCTTTACCCATATATCATAATACCTTGCAAAACCTTAGCACAATGAGGATATTAACACTGGTACAACCACCAATATTATGCAGATTTCTCCAGTTTATTTGTACTCACTTGTGGGTGTGTGCATTTAGTGCCATGCAATTTTATCACACATGTAGTATCTTCTACCACAGTCAAAACACAGAACATTTCCATCACCAAAACGATCTCTCGTGTTACTCTTTTATAACCACATACAACCCCTGCAACCCTATTTCTAACCCCAGACAACCACTAATTAATCTGTTCATTTCTATAATTTTATCCAAGAATGTTATATAAATAGAACTATAGAGAATGTTATATAAATGACAAGAATGTTATATAAATAGGACTATTTCAAGAATGTTACATAAATAGAACTATACAGTATATAAGTTTTGGGCGGTTGGCTTTTTTTCATTCAGCATAATTCCCTTTAGATTCATCCAAGGCATTGGGTGTATTAATAGCTCATTCATTTTTTTTTTAAATCACTGAGTAGTATTCCATGGTATAAATGTACCTTCTGGCTGTCTCCTCACATGGTCTCTTCTCTGTGGGCACATGAGGGTGGGAAGGAGAGAGAGACAGAGAGAGAGAGAAGAGAGAGAGAGAGATCTGGCATCTCTCCCTCTTTCTGTAAGATTAGGGAACCCTCTTATGACCTCACTTGACCTTCATTACCTCCTTAAGGCCCCATCTTCTACTACAGTCATATTGAGGGTTGGGGCTTCAACATATGAATTTTTGGCAGTGGGGGCTGGGCAAAATTCAGTCGGTAACTGGCAGGCTGTGACTCTCAGGTATGGCCAAAGCTGCTGTCCACAGGCATAATTTCTTCTTTCTCTTTAGGGAAGCCTCAGCTCTGCTTTTTAAGACCCCACACGAGCTCTCCCATCTAAGGTCCTTCCTGTTGCAGGCAAATTCTGAGCTCAGCTGTGATGTGAACTCTCAACCCCCATCTGATGAAGTGGGACAGACACTTAGTGGATGTCTCATGCTGGAGAGCAATTCACTTAGCCTTTGCTTTATGTTACAACTCCAAAACCACTGGGAGAGGAGTCCCTGTTTTTATCCCCAGGGTCTGAGGCCCCTGGAAATGTCAGATATTATCTTCTACAGAGTTTTGAGAAGGGGAAACTGAGGCCTGAGTATCTCCAGAGTGGAGTCAGTGACTTGCTCAAGGTCATAGGGCTGTTTAGTGGCAGAGATGGGGCAAAAACCTGGGCAAAATTGTACTTGTTCTGGAACTCTTGCGTGACTGCCATTGGGTGCCTTGTGACTTCCCTGAATCCATTTCCTCTTCTTTTGGAGATGCCACCCCAATTGTTTTGGTGGGAGGCATTTATCTTTCTCTTTTTATGACTGATCTTGGCAGGTACGCAGATGTTGTCAGTGCCTGGTCCTATCTGCTGGGCCCATCCTCCAGGTCTCCTGCAGCTTCAGTGTGTAGCTCCCATGCAGGCCAATGACTTCCTACCTCCAGCATCTATGTCTCTCTGCCTGAGGTCTTTCTCTGGCCACAAATGTGTAATTGGCTTGTGTGTGGGTCAGGCTATAAATGCCAGAGAATTAAGGCCTCCTAGAGTGTCCCCCAAGTAATGAGAGATGGGAGTTGGTATGTAAATATCCAAGCCTTCTGTCCCCTTGGTGGGAAAATTTTTAGCATGTTCCACACACTTTCAGAGGGTCTCCAGCAGGGATCAGTTGCAAGCAAGCCTCAGTTGCACACAGAGGTGACCTACTCATTAGCACATTACTATCATAACACATTGGCTTCCTTCCCTTCCTCGTCTCATTTCCCAACCCCTTATCCAAATAAAATGCTGCATCCAAATCCTCATCTCAGGGTATGCTTTAATAAGAAAGCAAAGCTGTTAACCAGAGAGCTTTCTCCTCCTTAGACAAGGGGCTAGGAGTAGCTGACTCATGGCAGCTTATAGACTTTCTTTCCCAGAGAGAGAATCTTGAGTGGAGAAATAAACAGACCAAAACTACTGGTGCTCATTTAGTCCCTAACAAAACTCTTTTTAGTTCCTCTGATCCAGATCCCCAAGATTGCCCTTTGTTATGATTATCTTTGAGTTCCCTTTCAAATCTTTCATTCACAGTTTTACAGCTTGTGCACAGCACAATCCTAAGGGTAAGTCACTCACACTGATAGTCCATCTCAATGGTGCCTCTTGGAGTTGCGCAGTGCACAACCCACCCAACTGTTCATGTGGTTCTGTGCCATTGTATTTTCGATACATTCTCTTCTTTCAGGTTGTTCTATAGCTGATAAAAACTTTGATATGAAAATAACTTCAAGATCTTCTGTCCCAGCCCTTTGCCTTTTGTAAGTTAATATCTAAGCCCTGGGAATGAGATAGTTGTGGCGTGGTTGCATCCTGCTGAAATACAATTCAGATATTCTTCAGGTTAAAGTTTGTCCAAAAACAAGAGTTCTAATGAGAAAAATTCAGCTACTACAAGGGAAAATTGGGGTAGAAGATTTGACTTTGCTTTCTCAATACCAATTGTATAAGGAAGTTGAGACTTATTTTCTTGCTACTTTCATACACTTGAAACAAGCAGCCAGAAACCTAGCTATTATCAGTGGACTTTTCTAGCTCTTTCTGCTACCTGTCTCCTTGCTCTAGAGAAAAATACAATTGAAGGGAGAAAAGAGAGAGAGAGAGAGAAAGGAACTCAGTAAAAGCTTTTACATTGCTCTAATTTCTGAAACATAAAAGCTATTCTTTTAGAGTAAATCCATTTTTTCCCAGTGGCATTATGGATAGAGAAATTCCTAGGAAAATAATTTGTCAAGTCCCGACTGATCAAAGATACATATGAAAGAACCCCACTTTTTTTTCTTCCCAAGGAAAAAACCAGCCCCCATCTAAGCTCAGAATGAATTGGCAATTCATTTACCGACTGTCAGATGAAGTAGCACAATCCCCATCACATCTTTAGCAGGGACGGGACCAGAAGGAAGCAATTCTGTGCCCACCGAGTGTACAAGCTGGGGGTATGTTAGTGATTAAGGGATCCTGGCCTGGGGGAGGCAGAGAGATATGACTCAGATTCGCCATTGCACCATAAATCTCCCTCTTTTATTCAAAATGTGTGTTTTATAGTCGTTTCCTGGCCAATTGCTGCCTTGAATAAATATATAACATATAACTTAGCTTTTAGGCCCAGAGCTGGGGTTTGTCTTGAGGGCCAAGTATTCTTGATATTTCCAAGAGCAAGCAAGGAACAAATAATGAGGCGCCCTTTTCTTCCTGACTCACCAGCCACATCCTACATCAAAAATAAAAATAGCAGTCAGTGCTAATTGGGCCAAGAAAGACAAAGCAACACCTGGCCATTGGAGCTAACTTCTTGTGTTCTGCAAATAGGTTGCTATCCCCACCTGCTCACTCAACACCCCTCCACTAGGCACACCCCAAAGAGGCTGCAACCTCTGAGCATCATTGACTGCATTTGGTTAGATCCACTAACTCAGACATTTGGCCCGAAGATCTTGGCTTGAAGGATCAAAGGTTTACAAAAATAGGTTTTCAGGAGATTTCCATTAGTTCTTGAAACACCAAAGCCCGAGTTTCCATCCCATTGCACTGAGGCTGCCCTTTTCAGAGGTGGGGAAGGGAGAAGACCAATGACTTCACTCAATCTTTTCTTCCCCTTTGCCATCAACTATAATGGGGTGTGGAGCAGAAGACCCGGAGTGCTCCCAAAGCCCTGTTTATTTTGGGCTGATTACATGCTAAGCATTTTATATGATTATCATGCATAGGTCTCAAAACTGCCTTTAAGCTTTTTGGAAGTCAGAGCCAGAGGGAGACCTACTCAGTTAAAGGATTCCCAATATAGCCCTGTGAGGTGTGTAGGAAAATATTCTTATCCCTGTTTTATGGATGAGGAAATGGAAGCTTACAGGGTTGTCACTTACCTAAGGTCTCATTCTTGGGATAGACAAACACTTTCACTTTCTTCATTCACCATACTAGATACATTTTGTAATGTGCCAAACTACAAAGCCGAACAACCCCAATCCCTGCCCTCAAGTAGATCTCAGCCCAGTGTGACGTGGACTGCTTTGTTTTCTGATTTGTGAGCATTAGCTCAGGGCTGGGCCAGAAGTGGGTGCTCAGACACATTCTGCCTCGTTTCCCTCAGGCTGGCTGATCTAAGTTGGAGAGAATGCTAATTTTGATGAATATGCAGGAGTCACTGAATACTCTTATTTCCTGGCAAAAGTGGCGTTTCAGAACACTTGGTGGTCGGCGGAGATGTTTTGCAGAGGAGAGGGGTAAATCTTGAGTAACCTTCATGTTACAACACCAAGTCAGACCCTTGGTGTGGAGTAAGGCTCAAAAGATAAGAATGAAGGTGTATGAGGTGACTACCTGGGCAGAGCTAATCAGACGGCCTGGAATCGAACCCCACCTCTGCCACTATTCAGTGATGTCAGATCTGGTAAACTTTAATTTCCTGTGCTCCAGTTTCTTCACTTGCAAAATATTGATAAGAGGCTGTTTGTGAATTAAATGAGTGAAGGCACCAGGAAAGAACTATTTGCACAGTGCCAAGCACATTACAAATACTCAGAAAACAGCTTTGGTCCCAGCTGTTGTCTACTTTTTACCTATTTCCATAAATAATTTGAGGCTGCTTGCAAAAATACATGCCACCCACAAAGACGACAATGTACAAAATAGTGATAAAGCCAAGAATAATGAGCACCTATCAATGAGTTCCATTTGGTCTTGTGTGGCATTATTTTTCAAAAGGGCCACAGCAGTATTTTTACACTCCTTCTCCTTCAGAACATGGATGTGTCTATCAAGGGGTGGAATGTGATTCTTCACTTCATTATGGGTGGGATCCAGCAGCTTACTTCTGACAGATAGGATGTAGTAGGGGGTTAATGTTACCCAGCACTAAGAGCTGAGATAAAAATAGACCAGGCACTAGGCTGGGGGAAATGGGGGTTACCTCCTCAGTCTGCAACCCTTCTGAAGCTAGATCATAAAAAGGTGGTACAACTTCCACCTAATTTCCCCCCTTTGGAACACTTGCTGTTGGAAACCCAGCCACCATGCTGTGAGGAAGCCCAAACTAGCCCACAGGGAGAGACCACAGGAGAGGACTACGTGTCAAGGAGTTGAAACCCCTAGCCTAAACCCAACATCCACCATCAGCCATGTGAGTGAAAAGCCTTCAGATTATTCCATCCTCAAGTCTCAACATCATGGTCCAGAGACAAGTTGCCCCTGTTATGCCCTGTCTAAATCGCCAACCTCAGAATCCAAAGGCATAATAAATGGTTGTTTTACACCATGAAGTTTTAGGGTATTTTGCTTACGCCATGAAGTTTTAGGGTATTTTACTTCTTAGCCTTCAGAACTGGAACATTCTGTGTAGTTAATAGAAATATATTTGGCTCTGAGCTTCCTAGCTGCCAAAACAAGTTGAGAATTATAGTCAGCTATAAGAGCTCATGAGTTCATAAAAGACAAACAAATCGAGATGTTTGCAAAAAACCAGGAGCAAGTTCTCCCTTGGGTTCTTGTAAAGATGTTGCAGTGCTGAGTAATGTTTTGATGATGTTTTTCATGATACCATCGTGGTAAACCCAACAGCAAAGATAATAGGACTGTTTCTCCTGGGTTCCCTAGATGTGCTACAAAATCCCAAGTCACAATTTGGGGAAATGTAGTGTTTTGGGGCCAAAATGGTAAGGGCTGGTTATCAAGGTGTGATGGTTAATATTGAGTGTTAACTTGATTAGATTGAAGAATGCAAAGTATTGTTCCTGGGTGTGTCTGTGAGGTGTTGCCAAAGGAGAATGACATTTGAGACAGCGTACTGGGAGAGGCAAACCGAACCTCAGTCTGGGTGGGCACCATCTGATCAGCTGCCCATGTGGATAGGATAAAAGGAAGCAGAGGAACATGGAGAGACTAGACTGGCTAAGTCTTCTGATCCTCTTTCTTCCATGCTGGACGCTTCCTGCCCTTGAATATCACACTCCAAGTTCTTCAACTTTTGGACTCTTGGACTTACACCAGTGGTTTGCCAGGGGCTCTTGGGCCTTTGGCCACAGACTGAAGGCTACACTGTTGGCTTCACTGTTGGCTTCCCTGCTTTTGAGGTTTTGTGACTCAGACTGGCTTTCTTGTTCCTCAGCTTGCAGATGGCCTATTGTGGGACTTAACCTCATGATCCTGTGAGTCAATACTCCTTAATAAACTCTGTTTCATATTTACATCTATCCTATTAGTCCTTTCTCTCTAGAGAACGCTGACTAATATACAAGGTCTCTGCAGGTCTTTTTTTTAAGGCTTAAATTATTTTTATTGATCAAAACATTTTTAAAATTAATTAATTTTTAACTTTTAGGCTTAGGGGTACATGTACAAGTTTGTTATATAGGTAAACTCATATCATGGGACTTTGTTGTACAGATTATTTCATCACCCAGGTACTAAGCTCTCAGTGCCCAGTAGTTATTTTTTCTTCTCCTCTCCTCCTCCCGCCCTCCACTGCTCCAGTGTCTGTTGTTCCCCTCTTGGTATCCATGAGTTCTCATCTTTTAGCTCCCACTTATAAGGGATAGCATGTGATATTTGGTTTTCTGCTCCTTCTGCAGGGTTTTTTTTTTTCTTTTGGTGGAGTCTAGCTCTCCAGCCAGGCTGGAGTTCAGTCGCACGATCTCAACTCACTGGAACCTCCACCTCCCAGGTTCAAGCAATTCTCCTGCCTCAGCCTCCTGAGTATGTGGGATTACGGGCACATGCTGCCATGCCCAGCTAATTTTTGTATTTTTAGTAAAGACAGGGTCTCACCATGTTGGCCAGGATCGTCTCGATCTGCTGACCTCATGATCCACCCACCTTGGCCTCCCAAAGTGCTGGGATTATAGGCATGAGCCACTGCGCCCGGCCTGCAGGTCTTTTAATCTAGGCAGACATTAATAGAAATTGGTCAGCAATTGAGACCAGGTCTTTATCACCTGTACTCAGAGATGAGCCTGTCACAGAGGTGATTTGCAAGCAATGTTTGTTGAATGAATGAAGAATGAATGGCTAAACGTCATTAAAGAAAAACATCATTCATCAATGGAATAGAAGAGGAAACCCAGAAATAAAACAGCACAGCTACAGCCATCTGATCTTTGACAAGGCCAACAAAAACAAGCAATGGGGCCAGGTGCAGTGGCTCACACCTGTAATCCCAGCACTTTGGGAGGCCAAGGTGGGTGGATCACCTGAGGTCAGGAGTTTGAGACTATCCTGGCCAACATGGCAAAGCCACATCTCTACTGAAAATACAAAAATTAGCCAGGTGTGGTGGTGGGCACCTGTAATCTCAGCTACTCAGGAGGCTGAGACAGGAGAATCGCTGAAACCTGGGAGGTGGAGGTTGCAGTGAGCTGAGATCCTGCCACTGTACTCCAGCCTGGGTGACAGAGCAAGACTCTGTCTCATAAAAATAAAACAAACAAAGAAACAAATGAACAAAAGCAATGGAAAAAGGACATCTTATTCAATAAATGGTGCTAGGATAACTGGCTACCCACATGCAGAAGATTGAAGCTGAACCACTACCTCTCACTGTATACAAAAATTAACTCAAGATGGATCAAAGATTTAGAGGTAAGACCTCAAATTATAAAAATCCTAGAAGACAACCTAGGAAATGCTCTTCTTAACACTGATCTTGGCCAAGAATTTTTGGCCATGTCCTCCAAAAGCAATTGCAGCAGAAATAAAAATTGACAAATGGGACTTCATTAAACTAAAGAGCTTCTGCACAGCAAAAGAAACTATCAATAGAGTACACAGATAGCCTACAGAATGGGAGAAATATTCACAAAGTATGCATCTGACAAAGTCCTAATATCCACAATCTATAAGAAACTTAAACAAATCGACAAGAAAAAACGACCCCATTAAAAAATGGGCAAAGGACATGAACAGACACTTCTCAAAAGAAGACATACACATGGCCAACAAACATATGAAAACATGCTCATCGTCTCTAATCATCAGAGGAATGAAAGTCAAAACCACAACGAGATACCATCTCACACCAGTCAGAATAGCTACTATTAAAAAGTAAAAAGACAACAGTGCTGGTGAGGCTGTGGAAAAACGGAACGCTTATACACTGTTGGTGGGAATGTAGATTAGTTCAGCCACTGTGGAAAGCTGTCTGGAGATTTCTCAAAGAACTTAAAATAGAGCTACCATTTGACCCAGCAATGCCATTACTGGGTAAATACCTAAAGGAAAACAAATCATTTTACCAAAAGACACCTGCACTCATATGTTCATCACAGCACTATTCACAATAGCAAAGACATGGAATCAACCCAGGTGTCCATCGATGGTAGATAGGATCAAGAAAATGCAGTGCATATACACCATGGAATACTAGGCAGCCATAAAAAGAATAAAATCATGTCCTTTGCAGAAACATGGATGCTGTTGGAGGCCATAATCCTAAATGAATTAATACAGCAACAGAAAACCAAATACCACATGTTCTAACTTCTAAGGAGGGGCTAAACATTGAGCATACATGGATATAAACATGGGAACAATAGGCACAGTGGACTACTAGAGAGGGGAGGGAGGGAGGGAGGGAAGCATGGGTTGAAAAACTACCTACTGGGTGCTGTGCTCACTACCTGTGTGATGGGATCGGTACCATCAGCATCACGCAATATTCCCATGTAACAAATTTGAACATGTACCCCATATCTAAAATAGAAGTTGAAATTAAAAAAAAAATCATTCATGATGATTGTTCAAGATGGCAAAGCAGCCTGTTCAAGGTGGGGGAACGATCACAATAGGTGCAGGGACCAGTGTGATGGAATTTTGCAGTGGGGGAGAGAGACTGGGCTCAACTCTGAATACAGCATGAGCAAGTGGGAATTTATAGCCAAGAAGCAGGGTTGGGGGTCAGTGGATGGAATATTACTGAAAGGAAGCATTAGGGCTCAGGGCGATTCTGGCTAAACTGACCTAACAGGAGTCTTGCTGAAGACAGACCAGGGTGGTCAGACATCACCTGGGGAGTGGTGGAGGGTGAGGAACCTGGTCACATATGAAGAGGGATCAGATACAGAGAGTGATCAGATATGCAGCGTGAAGATACTGGCTAACCTGACTTAGCAGGGCTCTTGCTAAAGATGGATTTTACAAGGAAGTACACAGATTGGCCCAGGAAAAGATTCAGACACCTGACTAAAGTCTGGTTAAGCCAATGATCTTTGAAAACATCAATTCAGACCAATCATTCACGACACGATTTCTTATCACAGAGGAGATGCAAGAAATACCCTGGTTAGAGGCCAGAAGTCGGCTTTGGAATTTATTTTATTTTTATTATCATTTTTTTTGAGGCAGATTATTGCTCTGTCACCCAGGCTGGAGTGGTGCAGTGGCGCAATCTCGACTCACTGCAACCTCTGCCTTCTGGGTTCAAGCGATTCTCCTGCCTCAGCCTCTTGAGTAGCTGGGATTATAGGTGCCTGCCACCATGCCCGGCTAATTTTTTCTATTTTTAGTAGAGATGGGGTTTTTGCCATGTTGGCCAGGCTGGTCTCAAACTCCTGACCTCCACTGATCCACTCGCCTCAGCCTCCCAAAGTGCTGGGATCACAGCTGTGAGCCCCCACGCCCCACCAGTTTTGTAATTTAGAGAAGTCCAAGTCCTAATCCTACCCAACGCTTCTGATTAGCTCTGTGAACCCAGTCAAGATATTTAACTTTTCTGGGTCTCAGTGTATCTCTGAGACAGGGAGCATACTCATACCTATTTAGTCATATAAAGGATTTTTAAAGGATAATCATGTCTATTTCATAGGGTAGTAAGAATCACAGTGAATTTTTAAAGGACCCATTAAAGGCAGGAGAGCTGAGGTTGGTTTGGCCTTTCCCTTCTGCTCACTCTCTCTATCTTGGGGCTCACACTCTCTCCCGGCCACTTGAGAAAGACAAGTTGCAGTTTCAAGTGGTTCCATTCCCCTGGGAATGGGGCCCCAGGTAGGGAGCCAGCACCAGCCCATCTTTCCAGCACTCAGGGTTGAGCTAAAAACAGGCCAGACTGAGGGTGGAGGAGGGGAGGGGTGACCTCCTCAGTCTGCAAGGCGTCCCTGCTCTTTGGGGAAGTGGGCCAGCCAGGGTGCCCTGTCCTAGAGGCCCTACTTCCTCCCCTCCCCCAGCATCTCCAGGTCAGGCCTCCTCCCCCCCGGAGAGAACTGTAAGTACTTTAGACAACAGGCCGATAGTGTCAGGAGAGATGGATGGGCCAGGGGGCTTATCTTGCTTAAAGAGACACGACTGGCTGGGCCTGTTGCTTCTCCCCCTCCTCTTCCTTCCCAGCCTGTGAATTTGATTTTCTTTTCAACACACGCACACATGTGCACACTAACACACACAGAGTCCCTGGGAAGCCTCTTTCTGTCTCTCAATACAGCTTACCTCATCTTCCTCCCTCTTGTCCACTATTCTCTTTACGTATAAAACTCAGAGCAACCAGGACAGAGGCAGTGATCTTAACGAGACAGAGTAGATTCTGGAAATTCGAGGTGGGGGCAGGAAGAAGGAAGAATCCACCCCTCCCCTTCAGCCGGAATTACTTTGTAAAAAAGGAAAAAAGAAAGAAAGAGAGGAAGAAGGAAATTGAGGGAAAGAGAAAAGAAAAGAAAGAAAAGAAAATCAATTTGTTCTCACTCTTATTTGATAGTCTCATCTACCACCCCAGACCTCGAGACTCATATTCTAGATTCTAGAATTCTATCCCAAAACACGATGGCATTCTTGGGTTTGGGGGCTGCAGGAGGCAGTGGTGAAGTGGAGATAGATGATAGATGCTTAGGGTTTTAGCCCAAATTCTAAATCCAAACTTACAGGGACAAAGAGATGGAAAGATCATCAAAAGGATATTCTTAGGAAACTAGGGATTGTGAATGAGCGCAGGCAGTTTGAAGTAGTGTCTCTAAAAAAAAAAAAGTGCACATTGCTCGGGCATGGTGGCTCATGCCTGTAATCCCAGCACTATGAGGGGACTGAGGCGGGCAGATTACGTGAGGTCAGGAGTTTGAGACCAGCCTGGCCAACATGGCGAAACCTCATCTCTACTAAAAATACACAAATTAGCTGGGCGTGGTGGCAGGTGCCTGTAATCCTAGCTATTCAGGAGGCTACGGCAGGAGAATTGCTTGAATCTGGAAGGCAGACGTTGCAATGAGTCGAGATTGTGCTACTGCACCACCCCAGCCTGGGCAACAGAGCAAGACTCTGTCAAAAAAAAAAAAAAAAAAAAAAAAGAAAGAAAGAAGGAAGGAAGGAAAGAGAGAGAGAAAGAAAGACAGAAAGACAGACAGACAGAAAGAAAGAAAGAAACAAAGAAACAAAGAAAGAAACAAAGAAAGAGAGAAAAAGTGCATGTCCCATATAATCCAGCAACTTCCCTTTTGGGTTCCTCCCCAGAGCAGTCATTCTCAACCAGGGTTGACTTTGCCCTCCCCGCCCCCACCATGGATATATCTGGAGACATTTTTGATGGTCGTGATGTGTGTGCACAGGTACTCCTGGCTTTGGGTGGGTAGAGGCCAGGGATGCTGCTCAACATCCTACAATGCACAGGACAGGCCCCCACCACAAAGAATTATCTGGCCCCAAATGTCAATAGTGTTGAGGTTCAAAAACCTCTCCTACAGAAATACCAGCACAGATGCACAGGAAAGAATGAAAAAGATGCCCAGAGAGCCTTTTTTTTTTTTTTTTTCCAATAGCAAAGACTTGTAAACAGTTTGAATATGCATTAACAGGGGACTGGTAGGGGACTGGCTAAATGAATAAGCATTGACCCTGGCTGCACATTAAAATCACTAGGGGATTGTAGCACACTGATGCCCAGGCCGGAGCCTCGGAGTTCTGATTCAACTCTGCTAGGGACAGGCCTTGGCATCCATATTTTATAAAGGACTCCTCCCTCCCCCACATAAACACACACCCCTTGGTAATTAATATGCAGCTAGGGTTGAATAAACTAGGATTTATCTACCTTTAGGAATGCTATGCCTTAGTAAAAAAGAATGAGTTTGTTCTGTATGGACCTATATGGCATCGTTGAACAAAAGAAACCAGGTATAGCATCACATGTTCAAGATAGTGCTATTAAAAAAGAAAGAAAAACAAAGCAAATCAACACACTCCAACTGAAAAGTCTACATATTAATATATACACATGCAAAATAAGCCTATCTATTGAATGAGGTACAGAGAAAGTCAGGCATAAAAGAAGTTTTGGAAAGAGACGGATATTCCAAAATGCTATCAATGGTTACTTCTTGGGAGACAATGAGAAGACCAAGGTGAGGTGGGGCCCATATGCCCTTATCTGTAGGATTAAGCAAGAAGAACCTATTCATGTATTAATTGTATAATTATACTTAATAACAGGCTGGGCACAGTGGCTCACACCTGTAATCCCAGCACTTTGGGAGGCCGAGGCAGGTGAATCACGAGGTCAGGAGATCGAGATCATCCTGGCTAACACGGTGAAACCCCGTCTCTATTAAAAATACAAAAAATTAGCCGGGTATGGTGGTGCGCACCTGTAGTCCCAGCTACTCGGGAGGCTGAGGCAGGAGAATGGCGTGAACCCGGGAGGCAGAACTTGCAGTGAGCCGAGATCGCGCCACTGCACTCCAGCCTGGATGACAGAGCAAGACTCCGTCAAAAAAAAAAAAAAAAGAACCTATTCATGTATTAATTGTATAATTATACTTAATGACAGTCTGGGCACAGTGGCTTACACCTGTAATCCCAGCACTTGGGGAGGCCGAAGTGGAGGGATGGTTTGAGCCCAGGAGCTCAAGACCAGCCTATGCAACACAGCAAAACCCCATCTCTACAAAAACAAAAAGAAAAACAAAAACCCAAAAATTAGCCGGGCATGGTGGCACATGCCTGTAGTCCCAGCTATTTGGGAGGCTAAGTCAGGAGGATAGATTGGGCCCAGGAGGTCTAGGCTGCAGTGAGCCATGAATGATCACACCACTGCACTCAAGCCTGGGCAACAGAGCAAAACCCTGTCTCAAAAAAACAAACACAAACAAAACACTTAACGACAATAGGAAAACAGGAGGAAATTGGGGATGTAGTACCTAGGGCTGTCAAAATCCAATGAGATGGGAGAATGCTAAGGGCACCAGGCCTTTCTCAGCTGAGTAGCACAAGCCCAGGCTTGCTCCTGAGTTTAATATCTGAAAGCAGTGACTTCTCACTTGTCCCCCCACCTCCAACTTCCAGCTTTGTGGCCGCCCTGAAGCCTCCATGTCTGCCCTGCACGATGGATAACTAATTGGAGCAGAGCTGACAGCCATTCCCTTTATTAATAAGTGTCATGATCAGGGAGCTTAAATGGCCAGACTTCTCTCTCTCTCTCTCTCTCTTTCTTCCAAGAAGGCTGCTGTCAGTGATCAAAGCTGCTCTGCATCTCTGGCTGGGGTCGGGGAATGCAAAGGGGGCTGGGGAGGTTGTCCCATGGCCAGGCAGCTGAAGATCCCCACCTGGATTCAAGAAGGAAGGGGGAAGGCTCAAGGCAGATAGCAATATTGGGAGTCCACATGGCTTGGGTGGGGAGGAATCATTCCTACTTTCAGGCATTGAGTCATTCCCCATTTATTGCAGAACTACTATGTGCCAAGTCCTGTTCCTATGATGGGAATAAATAAATAAAAAGGCATAATTATCTCTGCCTTGAGTGATAGAAATAAACAATCACTTATCTATTCAACAAGTATTTTTTTATGCACCTACTATGTGCCAGCATTTGTTAGGTACTGGGAATGTGGAGATAGCAATAATAATAATACTAATTATTATTATTATTTCAAATACATGTATAACACATATTATGTGAGGTGCTATGTGAAGCTTTTAATATACATTTAACTCATCTAATCCTTATAATAATCTTATGAAGTAGATTTTATTCTTACCTTTGTACAGATGAGGAAAGTAAGGCACAGAGAGGTTAAGACACTTGCTCAAGGTCACTCTGCTAGAGTGTGGCATGGCTGAGATTTAAATCCATGCAGCTTGGCCCTAAAGCCTCCACTTTTAATCACTATTATGCTTTTGGCAAGATACATGAACATCATTCCTGCCCTCTTGGAGCTGAAATGCAAATGTATGGGAAGTGGGGGAGGTAGGGATAGACTTAGGTGAACACCTGTCAATATAGCTGATTTATGTCATGGTATAGGAAAGTTGTGAAGGCTGCTCTGAGGAAGTATTCTTTAAGCTGCAATTAGGAAGATAAGTAGGAATTAACTAGAAAAATAAGGGCCAGTTGTTCTCCAGGTAGAGGGGACAGCATGTGCAAAGGCCCTGAGGTGGGACTGAGCTAAATCAATTCTAGGAACAGGAAGAGGTCAGTGTGGCTGGAGCACAGGATGCTGGGAGAGCAGAGGTGGTGAGGGCCAGTGAGGTTGGCAGAGACTGGATCACACAGATCCTTGGAAACAGGTTGAAGGAATTTCCTCTCTACTCTTCAGAACATGGAAAACAACGTCAGGGGTTTCAGCAAGGGAGCATTTTGGCAAGTTCACAGTGGTCTCCATCAGGAGGGAACATGGAAGATTTTAGTACAGCAAGTACAAATGTGGGGACAAAAGGAAGGGCCCTGAACCCAGGCAGGATGAGCTAGAGGTCAGGATTTCCTGTCTCTTCATGCTCATCCCCATCCAATCAATATCTCCAATTCCTCCCTGCCTCCATTCCCTCAAACACAGCCACTCAGTACTCAAGGGTTCTGTTTCTGCCCTGTTTTCTCACATGTGTTCACTGTGGCCTCAAATGATTTTATTAATGGCTGCTCTGTCTTTCTGAGTAGACTGGAGCATGGATGACTTGATACCCACTTTTGAGGCCTCCCTAGCAGATGCTGTCAGTTCCTTCCCTCAAATATATTTTGTTTCCTTGCCCTGATCAAGGCAGCAAAACACCCATGGAAATCCCAGTTTGTTGTTGTCAAGTACTTGCTTTCCCAGCTTTCCTTACAGCAAGATGTGGCCTCATGATTCAATTCTGGCCAAAGAAACATAGAAGAATCTTGTTGGGGGGCTTCTAATAAAAGTTTTCCTTCCTTAAAACACTTTTTTTGTTGTTGGGCCTTTCCTTCCTGACTTGGATACTAGAGCGAAGTGTGATATTTGGTGCTGTGGCAGCTATAATATGACCATGAGATGACAAGAATGAGACTGGAAGCCAACATGTTAAATATGGTGAAGAGAAAGGATTGAAAAAGTCTGCACAGGTATTAGTCTCAATAGCAAAGACATGGAATCAACCTATATGTCCATCAATAGCAGACTGGATAAAGAAAATATGGTACATATACACCACGGAATACTACACAGCCATAAAAAAGAATGAAATCATGTCCTTTGCGGGAACATGGATGGAGCTGGAGGCTATCAACCTATGTGAATCAACACAGGAACAGAAAACCAAATATCTTCTCACTTATAAGTTGGAGCTAAATCTTGGGTACAAACAGATATAAAGTTAGGAACAATAGACACTGGAGAGAATTAGGGAGGGGGACAAGGGCTGAGAAAACTTCCTGTTGGGTACCATGTTTGCTGTCTGGGTAATGGGATCAATAGAAGCCCAAACCTCAGTATCATGCAATATACCCTTATAACAAACCTTCACATGTACCCTCTGAATCTAAAATTAAAATTAAAAAAAGAAAAAGTCTGTATCTTTGACGAAATTATTGAGCAGCTGCAACAGCTCTGGAGGTTTTAATCTTGTTAATGATATTTTAATATACATTTTACTATTGCTATATTTATTTGTCTTTTCACTGCACGTGAACACATCCTGAAAGATAGGGCATGACAGGGAGAATGGGGAGCTCAGACACTGTTTCATTGGATGCTCATATTGGACAGAGGAGGAAACCAAGGCTCAGAGAGGGGAAGGGGCTGGCACAGGTCACACAGTAAATCACTGACAGAGAAAACTTCTGCCTCCTTGGTCTCAATGGGAACGTAGCATATCCCAGGCTGGTACTCTTGTTTGTGCTACCATAGGAAGGTGACAACGGATAACAGGAACATTAAAAAAATGTGCATACCCACTCCATTTTCCATTTACAGAGACATGAGGCACATTAGGGAAGAGAAGTCTCATGTTTTGTGTTGCCATTAACATAGAGGAAATAAAAAGTCCTTAAAATGACCACACACATTAGCTTAGGCCTATAGGCAAGGGTTTGAGAAATATCAGACCTAGGTGAAGGACATCAGGCAGCAAGGAAGAAAGTGTTGCTATCCATCAATTCATCTATCCATCCATCCATCCATCCATCCATCCATCCATCCATCCAACCATCCATTCATTCATCCATCTTTCAATTTCTTTCTCACTCTCTCCCTCCACTCATCCATCTATTAACTCATTCATCCATCTGTCCACCCCAATGATCCATGGGCTGGGGCCTGCCTCTCTGGAAGTATGTGGTCATATCAAGGAGAATCAAATATAAAAATCAGAGTTTAACAGCAAAACAGAAAAGGGAACAAGTAGATATTAAATAGGTGTCACAGGTTGGGTTCTCTGAGAAGTAGACCCTAAGAATTTAGAGTGCAAGAGATTTATTAGGGAACTGCTGTGGTTTGAATGTCCTGGCCAAAACTCATGCTGAAAGTTAATTGCCATTGTAATAGTATTAAGAGGTGAGGACTTTAAGAGGTGATTAGCTCATGAAGACTTTGCCCTTATGAATGGATTAATGCCTCACATGTCTCTGTCTCATGTTCTCACTAGATACTAGTGCCATGCTCTTAGAATTCCCAGCCTCTAGAACTGTAAGCCAATTGAGCCAAATAAACTTCTATTGTTTTTAAATTACCCAGTCTGTGATATTCTGTTATAGCAGCAGAAAGTGAGCGAAGACAGGAGTGCTCTTAGGACCAACAACTGTGAAAGGGAAGGAAAGGAAGCAAGAGTAAACAGAGGAAGGAGCAGGGCTGTGATGCACTTTTGTCTTTTCTGTTTTTGTTTTTGAGACAGAGTCTTGCTCTGTCACCCAGGCTGGAGTGCAGTGGCACAGTCTCAGCTCACTGCAAACTTCACCTCCTGGGTTCAAGTGATTCTTCAGCTTCAGCCTCCCAAGTAGCTGGACTGCAGGCACACACCACCATGCCCAGCTAATTTTTGTATTTTTAGCAGAGAAGGGGTTTCATCATGTTGGCCAGGCTGGTCTCAAACTTCCGGCCTCAAGTGATCTGCCTGCCTCAGCCTCCCATGTAATACAGTCTTAATGAAGGCTTTAGCCAACCCCACAGAAAGCTTAATATTAGTTGTCTATTTCTATATAACAAATTACGAAGTTAGCAGCTTAAAATAGCACACATTTAGTATCTCACTGTTCTGGTGGGTCAGGAGTCCAGGCATAGCTTTGCTTGTCCTTTGATTCAAGGTCTCTGACAAGGCTGCAATCAGGATGTCAGACAGAGTGGGAGGCTTGGCTGAGGGGGGGATCTTATTCCAGGCCCCTGTGGTTATTGGAAGAATTCCATTTCTTGCAGATTGTAGGCCTCAGGGCTTCCATTTCTTGGTGGCTGTTGGCAGGAGACCACATTTAGTTTTTTTGCCACATGGGTCTTCCCAACATGGCCACTTGGTTCATCACAGTGTTCCATCCAATCACCACTGTGTTCCATCACAGTGGAGCAAGTCACAGATCCTGCCATGCTCTTGAGGAGGAGATGATACAAAGACATGAGAATCAAGAAGCAGAGATCATTGGGACCATCTTAGGAACTCTCCATCACAAGCTCTGAAGCTGGGATGGCCTTTTTGAGCTGTCCCAAGTTGGGAACAGGAAGAAAGAAGATCAGACTTTTATACCTCCCCATGAATCCATCACTGGACTTGGGTCATCCCAGGAAAGTATTGTGACCTTGGAAGAGGTAGCTTTCTGCTGATGAGGCTATTTCTGGCATCTGAAGGCTGTCAGCTGACAATCTTTCTGGTGGAGAGTCAATCCTTCAATTCTAAAGAAGGGATCTGGGAAAAGAGCAACCATAATAATATGCAGGCAACAGTATCTACTACAAATACTCTTCTTCTCTACAGATGAGGGAGTTGAAAGTTAAGCCTTGACTAAGTTCACACATTAGTGTGTATGATTAAGCTGTATTCAAACCCAAGTCTGCTTGAGTCTAGAGCCCACATGTTTAACCACTGTTCTATGATTCCTTGATAGAGTTTTAAGTCTAATTAGTGGGGCAAACTGATAGCCTGATTTACAGCAAATTAAGTATCAACTCAACAGTTGATGTTCCTTGCCACTGGATATACCACTAATCACAGCTGCTATGGCATTTACAAGTGAAGATGGGTTATGAAAGGCGGTATGTAAGTAGGTTGCAGTCATATCTTGCAAACTGATAGGCTTTTCTGAATCTAATTGTATTAGGGTAGACTAGGTAATGCTGCAGCAATAAACCCCTAAAACTCAGTGGCTTGACACTCTCACTTTCATCACATGGATTGGGCAGCCGTCTTTGGCAGCTCTCCTCCAGGTGGTGATTCAGGGATCAAGCCTCCTTCCATTTTGAATACACAACCTCCTAGGTAATTGAGGAAAGGAAAGAAGTTTATGGATGATTGTTCAGGGAATCTCATGGCCAAACCTGGAAGTGGTAGGATATGCTTGTTTAACTCCCATTGGCCAGGACCTAGTCACATGTCCTCAAACTAACTAATGATTGTGGGAAATAAAAGATTGTAATGGAATTTTATGAATACATAGCATTATCTCTGCCACACTCACCAAAGTGTCCAATAAAGGGAGCAGACAATGTGAAATGGCAACTGTCTAAAACAAACTCATATTTATAGTTGAATTTGGAAAATCCAACACTTTCAGCTTCAAGCCCTAGCTTTGAGGTTTAGATTTCCTTTGCAGTATATGTGCTGGTGGAAATATCGAACATTGGCAATATTTACCAAGCCTTTGGCTGTTGATAAATGCCCCTAGAGCCTGTTTGACCTTCTCCTAGGTTTTTCAAAGCTCTCTACAGTCTGTGGATCCTGGGGGTCTCAAGTTTGAACCAAGAAATCCTGAGAAAGAAAAGAAGCTATCTGGCTTTAAACTGTTCCCAGACGAGGAGGCTCTTAGCGCCTAAGCCTCAAGGGGAGAGACACTCTCCTTGAGAGACTGTCTGAGCCAACACCTGGAAGAGATTGATTGAGAGACAGTTAATATGGCTGTGTGATTTATGAGGAGGAGATATTGCAGCCAAGGTGCAGGCTGTGGCGGGGGCGGGGGCGGGGGTGGTGGAATAGGGAGAGTACAGGCAATGTTAGGTACTTACTGCAGGGTCAGGAAACACTTGATAAAGTTCCACAGTGGAGCTTATTGCTGAGGAAGGAGGGGAGGAGCCCGCAGGCAGTACTGGGAGCTGGCTCCAAGTCTAAGTGGGTAGGGGGCTGTGGCATGTGAGGTGCTTCCCCATGGATGCCGGTTTCTATGGGACCCTGGGCTCAGCCTCGCCACCTCACATCCATCATGTGAATGAATGGTCCCACATGAAATATCACATCTGTCAGGAGTCCCCTGTGCTTGCTGCGTCCATGGCTTCGGCCTCAGCTCACGTCTATCCAGAGTCTATTTTGTGCCAAGTGCTTAATTCACGCACGTGTCTGAAACCAGACATCTCTGGGAGAGTAAGTGTTCCTCAGGCTTGCTGCTCTCTGCACCTCGCTTCCCTTTTCTGAATTAATAACAACCATCTCTTGCAGAAGCATAGCTGATCCTTATGCCCTTTAGGATATATTTGTGACTTTCTGTAAATTTCCCCTTAATAATCCATACTTCAAGTTCCCATCTGTAAAATGGGGATAAGCAGATCGTTTTTGCTTCCCTCACAGGACTTTGTAAAGATGAAATGCATAATACTAGCTCATTGCTTAACATCAAGTGTCTTAGAGCCAAACAGACTTGGGTTTGAGCCCTGGCTCCACTGCTTACTAGCTGCATAGCCATGAGCAAATCACTTGACTTCTCTGAGAGATTCTCAGCTTATTCATCTATAAAATAAGTCATACCTCCCTCTTAAGGCCATATGGAATGAATATAATGATATAGGTAAGGTGCTTACCTCAGGGGCTGGTACACATCATGAACTCAACAAATGAGACATAAAATAATGACTGCTGCTGATAATAAGAACAGATAAAAGGCATGCACAAGAAAGTGTTTAGAAACATAAGCAATTGTTATCATTGACTATACACCCAGGGATCATGGCAAGCTCTGTGAAAGAGAAGTTCTAGAATCTCCACAAACCTTTTTAGGGATTCCTTTAGCAGGTTTCACGCAACCTGGCCAAACACCTATTTACCAGTTGGAGAACAGACCCTGAAGAAGTCTACATTTAGCTTCCATTGTATAGAGAATATTTCTCTGAGAAGCTCAATTATGTATAGCTTCATAGGTCAGTGGAAGAGACATCGAAATAGATAATGGCACCTTATGGAGTCAGTACAATGGGGACAGAGCAACCCCGAAGAGAGTGATCAAAGGATTATTTCTGGAATGATTTAGGAAAGACTTCTAGGAGGCAATGATATTAGAGCTGGGTTTGCAAAGATTCTAGGAATTTTGCAGGTACTTTTTAAGATTCCTGATTGTTCTATTAGTGGATGCATAGAATGCCTATACATTTTCTCAGCTGATAGTGTCATTTGTATCTTCAGGGAAGACTGAACGTTCTCCCAAAATACCTAAGTGCTGGGAAGCATGAATAATGGAAAAAGGAAGGATCAAAGTTGTAAGGTGAATTTTTTTCTATAAATTCTTTGTAGCGGCCCCCTTGGAGTTTTCACTGCCCTACATTTATTCTCCCTTTTTATAGCAGAATTTTCCAGTTTTTCCTTAGGAGAACCACTGATTCTCTGCTATCATTGTGATTTAGGTGGAGTTGACCCTTCTCTCCAGCTCCCAGGATGCCCATGCCTCTCAAGCCTGGCCAATCAGGAAAGTCAGTTCATCAGTCATAATAATTGGCTTAGGGATGGTCATGTGACCAGGCCAAGGCAATTCAGCCTTAGTACTTTTTCGGGTACTGTTGGAAAGAAAAGTCCTCTCTCTCTGAAGGTCTTAAAGCTGAGTGGCAAAACCTATTGTACAACATGATGAGTATAGTTAATAATAATGTACTGCATTCTTGAAAATTGCTAAGAGAGTGGACTTTTAAGATTTTTCACTGCAAAAAAAAAGTATGGGAGGTAATGTGTATGTTAATGAACTTGATTTAGTAATTCCACAATGTACACGTTTCAAAACATCATGTTGTACATGATAAATATGTACAAATATTATTATTATTATTGGAAACAGGGCCTTACTCTGTGGCCCAGGCTAGAGTGCAGTGGGATGATCATGGCTCACTGCAGCTTCAACTTGGCAGGCTCAAATGATCCTCTCACTTCAACTTCCAGAGTAGCTGGGACCACAGGCACATGTCACCATGACCGGCTAATTTTTAAATTTTTTTGGTAGAGATGAGGGTCTCACTGTGTTGCTCAGGCTGGCCTTGAACTCATGAGCTCAAGCAATCTTCCTACCTTGGCCTCCCAAAGTGCTCAAATTACAGGCGTGATCCACCATGCCTGGGTTGTACACTTTTTATTTGTCAACTAAAATAATAAACAGTAAAAGGTGGGGAAAGCTGGGTAAATGCAAACCTGATGTTTAAGGAGCCACCATATGAAGACGGTTGGACTGGGAATAAAGCTAATAGGGAGGAGAACAGATCTGAGCAGAGAAGAGAGAGCAAGTCCTGATGACATTGACATGCGCTGGCTCTTCAGATACTTGAGTGTCTCATCTCCTATGTTTGAATTGGGTTTCTGTTGTTTGCCATCACAAGAATCCTAAACAATACACCATTTAGTCTACAAATATTGATTGACACTGACTACATGCTAGACACTGAGGATAGCACTGTGTTGCAGGTTGAATTCACCCGGGAGGCTGACTCTGAGATGGAGATTACTATGCAAGATGAGAGAGAAGGAAGCAATATTAAACAGCAGGAGAGACTGAGCAGTGGTGCAGTTATAAGACGTTGGCTAGACCCACAGGGACTGCTGGAACTGGGACTGCCTTTCTGAGTTGTCCTGAGTTGGAAGAAAGAGACCAGCATGGACCAGTCATTGGATGTCGGCTGCCCCACGGAGGGAATGTAACCTTGAGAGAAAAAGCAGTTTAGCCAAGGGCAATTCCAGGGAGGCTACCAGCTAAGAGCCATCAGCTGGCAATATTCCCAGCAGGTGAGGGAATAACGCTTCTGTCCAAGGTGGGATCTGGGCAATCAGCACGGTACCCACTACAGCATCGACCCTGCTCTCAGTTGCTCACCATCTAAGGTAGCATCTTTCTAGTTTTATGTGTCTTGCATACTCAGCTCTCCATATTCTTTAAATGTCTGCCACTGTGAGTTAGATAAAGAACATGAGAGGAAGGAGAGTTGGATGGAGGAGAAAGAATGCTGGAGGAGGCAGACAGCCACATAATTAGACAGGGACTTGAGAATCTTGGCCTTCCAGGGAATATGGAGTCCACTACTCAGAAAGGGAAAAACACCAGGCTGCTGCACTAGGGCTCCATAAGAGCGGGAGCTCTGTTATTGTTTACTGAGCTATCCCCAGTACCTAGTAGTGGAGCTGGCATGGAGTATGTGCTCAATAAATACGTATAGTCTGGACTGAGCCCTCTCTTACGCAGTCTCCCCTTTAACCCTCAAAATGAACCTGTGAAGTAGGTAGATTTCCTGAGTCTCTTTTTGCAAATAATAAAAGAGAAACTTAAAGGGGTAGATAATAGAGCCAGGCTTCACATACTGGTCTGTTAGATTGCAAAGCTCTTGTTCGGGCTATTCTCCATAAGAATGCTCACCTTAGACTTTTCTGCATAGAAAGAAATGTGGGCTCAAGGACAGAAATAGAAATGGAGCTGTCATAGTCCAAGTTTTAGAGCCTAAGCCCTCAATTTGCAGAGGAAAAGGGGTAGAGGGTGGGAAAGAGAGAGGAATGAAATCATTCATTTAAAAAATTTCTTTATTCAGCAAACATTAAAAAATACCACATGTAAAACACTAAACCATTGAATAATACATTTTAAACAGGAAAACATTTTATAATAATATATTTATGACATAAGAATATTTAATAAGGGGGGAGGGATAGCATTAGGAGATATACCTAATGCTAAATGACGAGTTAATGGGTGCAGCACACCAGCATGGCACATGTATACATATGTAACTAAACTGCACATTGTGCACATGTACCCTAAAACTTAAAGTATAATAATAATAAAAAAAGAATATTGAATAATAATACATTTTAAATATGTATATAATATTTACACATTTTAAAACACTTTGTACTGTAATAATACATTTAAGACCTTAACACATTTAGTGATGATCATAACTATTATTATAATTATTAAGTTTGGCCTAGACTATACACAGCTGTCGCATTTAATCCCCGTGTGGATTCTAGGAGGAAAGTTCTATTATGATCCCTGTGTACTGATGAAGAAGCTGGCTTTAGAGAGCACAAGTCACTTGTCAAAAATCACACATGAGTCAGTGGAGTTTGAATCCCGAAAGTCTGATGCCCCACTCTGCTCACACCCAGCTCTGTGCTGGTTTTAGGGATAAGAAACTAGATGAAACAATGCCTCAGGTTGCCAGGAGCTCAGTCTGGTGGAGAACCAACCACTCAGTAGGGACAGAGAAAAGGGCCAGGGATGGGGTATGAGGAAGTGTGGTGGCTGTTCATGGAGCTCACAGGACTGCTGGCTTATCCATTTTGCTTTGCTTTCATTAGTCCTCTCTCTCCTTAAGTAGCAAATAGAAGTGAATACTCATCTTCCGTCTCTCATTCAATCAGTTATTTGTTGAATTTATTCATTCAACAAATCTAGTTTACAAGCAAGCGGTGTTCTAGATTTTGGAAACACAGAAGTGAACAAGACAGATAAGGACTCTGCCCTCCTGGGGCCTACATTCCAGGGTGGGGAGGACAGGGAGTGCTGTCAATAAGCCATCAAATATCTAAACAAACAAGGTAATTTCTCATAGTGAAAAGAAAACAAACAGGGAGATGTGATGCTCTAGGTTGAGTAGTCAGGGAAGGCTTCCTGGAGGAGGTGACAACTGAGTTGAGAATTTGATGGTTCAGAAGAAGGCACCCATGGGGACATCTGGTGGAGGCTTCTGGATGTGGGACTGACCACCTGCCATGTCTTCATGGTAGGAGAGGAAGAAACTAAGCTCCCAGCCTCAAGCTGAGAAGACTAAGTGCAGAGATTTTGTTGACCAGCCCAAGAACAAAGAGAACCGTGTCTTCCCGCATCAGCTGCTGCTGAAGAGTGGAAAGCCTTCTAGTTGGCGCAGTTAGGGCCCTTCCTGCTGGGCATTCAAGGTTCTATCCATTCTTCCAGAAGCCAGCCTGGAGCTTCCCAGAGGATCACGGGGGCATGTCAGCTCTGAGTTAAAGGCCAGGAGGCAGCCTGTGCCCACTCTGCACTGAGGCTAAGAGAATTAACTCAACAGGCGCTCCCCTCGGGGTCTTCTACAGAAAGACAGCAAAACTAGGCTCAGATCCCAAGAAAGCTTTCGTAAGCTTTTCCTTGCCTCCAGATAATAAAGACAGCTGCTTTGAAACCAATTTGGCTTCTTTGTTTTTATAGGGGAATGAGTTTGCTCATAGCTCCCAGAGACTGGAGGGTCATAGAAGAGCGCAGATGCTGTGTTATTAGTTCTAGGGTGAGGCTCACCATATTAACACGAAGCAAGCCCTGGTTACCGCCTGTTTAGGCTGCGGGGGCTGGTAGTTACTAGGGTGTTCTGGTCTTATAATAAAAATAATAGAAGGAAAGATAAACTCCATCCCGTCCAGCGGTGTTGGTCATGCTCTGTGAGTTTTTCTTACTGGGTTCTCTATGGTAACTATGGTAGCATGGTTACCGAGTGGGAGTTTGTTGGGAGTGGTTAGGCTTTGGGCTTTGGGATCCCATTGACCTAGGTTCAAATCCTGGCTCTGCCTCTTATTACCATATAATCTTGCCTATGTGTATGTAACCTGTCTGATGCTCAATTTCCTCATCTGAGAAATGAGGACGATAATGACGATGACCTGTATTAATGGAGGTATGAATGAAACACAGCACTTAGCACAGTGTCTGCAACATTGTAAACTCTCAGCAACTGAGAACTGGTGTTTCTCTTAATACTGTTATTTATGATAGTAATAGTCTTACCAGGCATCATAATTAGTAACAGGAGGTCATGACACATTTCCAGATGAGGAAACTGAGGCACTGAGCCATAGGTACCTTGCTTTAGTGAAACCTTGCCATTGTCGGTGTCAGTAATGGGCTTTACAGACCCAAAGAGTGGGATTTTAAAAGTCTTCCCCATAAATAAACGAGAAGAAAGCAATCTCTTGGCCCCGGAGACCACTTCCTAGCCTAGGATAAGCAAGTAAGATATTTACGACGCAGCCTCCATAGAGGAGACATTGTTCTGGGTGAACTGAACGGGCAGTGGTCAGACCACATCTAAAATGCTTCAACTGGTTTTTGCTGTGGCTTTTTCACAAAGAAAGATCTTATTGCCTCTGAAAGAGGCCGCTGGGATAATTCCAGGTGGTAGCACGGCTCTGAAAAAACCCAGGAGAATATTGCAAGGGAGGCAGGATTTCGGAGGGGAGCAAGATGAATTACGTCCTCTAGCATGCAAAGAAAGGAGAGGAAAGCAGAGAAATGGAATTAAGGCTAGTGAGGGAAACCAGCCAAGGGCCTTTGGGCGTAGTAGTAATAACGATGACAGTAATCGAAGTTGGCAGTTATGAAGCACCTACTGTGTGCTGTGTTCTCATTGACACATGATTTTTAGTTTTCTCCTTGATTCTTAAAACAATTTGGTAAAAGAGATACTGACATTCTCTTTTGCAGATGAGGAAAGTAAGGCCTAGAAAAGTGAAGTCATTCTCCACTGAGCCCTGGATTCCAATTCAAGCTTGGCTGGCTGCTTTCAAAGCCCATTTTTCCACCCACTATCAAATTGTGGAGCCAGGCTAATGAAAGTGGACTGGAGAAATCTACCCCGAGGAAAGGGAAGCCTGGTTTTGTGGGGGTGTGGGTGCGTGCTTGGCTCATCCCAACGTGTTGGCCTTCTGGCTAGCAGGAGGAATTAATTCTGGCCTCTGCAGCAGCCCTCGCTTCTTTGCCAAAAGGCAAGAGGCTGGAGTCCTGCTCGCGGCTCCCTCCTCCTCCTGCCACCTACACATCCACGAGTCACTTCCAAGGGTGGAGAAGGCTTTGAAGTCGGTAGTGACGCCGTGGAGGGTGAAGGCTTCGGAGAACTGAAGAGGTGAACACAGGGCCAGCAGATAAGCAACCTAAACAACCAAGAGTGCACTCCCAGGCACAGAATGAAGAATTTCTGACAATGAGTTTTTGCCTGGCTTTTGCTTAGTCTAGTTTTTAGAGCTATGAAGGATGATGTTCCTGAACTTGGCTAAGCCAGAAATGGAAGAGGCTATTAGCTTAGCAGTAGTCTATGAACTTTCCCCCAGAGCTGGAGCTCTGGATCTCTTGCCTCAGTTAGGGCTTCCCTGTAGCTTTCTCTCTGTCTTTCTGTATTGAATAAATCAATCTAGGGCCTACAAGAGTCCTGGGAGATGCATTTTATGCGAATGTCCATTTTTCTTCTGAGAGTATTCAAAGCCTTCACTGGAGCCTGTGGGATCCCTCCTTGAAAAGTTAAACCTTGTTGGAAGTAAACAAATGAAAGGAATGCAAGTAGTTACCACCAAGGTAGAGGATGCCAATTACTTTTCATCAATAATAAAATAATAATGAGTCACCTCTCGTCTTAGTAGTGTTTCCTCAGAGGTAAACCCCAAAACAAGTATCTGAGTGCTCATAAATTTTTATTTCATTTTGTTTTGCTTTTGGAGGTGATTCCAGTAAGCACCAGTAAGGGAGTGGGAGTGGAGAAATTTGAAAGGCAAGAAGTTCATACAGCATGTGTTAATGAGTAGGTTACTGTTATGGGTAACTGAGGCTCATTCCTGCTGGGGAACTCTGAGACACAATACAGAACGTGCCTTGGAGTTGTCCTACCTGAGGGATAAAAAGATAGAGTACATATCTTCCAACCCCAGCCTGTCATTGTCTGAGGGCTGTTCCTGGGAGTGTCAGCTCACCAGAACTGCTGGTCTACCTCGGGAGCGAGATTCCGGGAGAAGCCCTCAAAGGGAGAGCTGTGGATGCCTGCACTAGGAGCCATCAGCATGCACAGGAATGGCATGCACTGGGAGCTTATGGGTGAACTCCCAATGGTGTATACTATATCTATACATTCACATTTGTTTCATTTCTGAATGCAATTGCTTATAGGAGACATAGCTCCCAAGATGACAGCCTTGGATTTTGTAATAAATTAGAAACAAGGCTCATATAATATTAATAATAGAAGTATTTACATAAATGCTGTGGGCTTACAGGTGAGCTGCTGGGCTGAAGCATCATAAAACATTTCATTGCATAGAAAATAAACAGTGCTAATGTGGCAGAAGAACTACAGGAAATGTGAAATTAAGGGACATCAAAATCAGACTAGATTTCTACAGCTAGCCTGAAAGTTAAGAGCTTGGGTTCAGGATTCAGATAGTTTGAGCTGCAGGTCTGACACTTTTGCGACCTTCAACAAGCTGCTTAACCCCTTGAGCTTCAGTTTTTGTCTTTTTTTTTTAAACTGTCAAATGGTAAAAGTTCCTATCATAAACAATTATTGTGAGAATTAATTGAGGTAATGCTCAATACCTCAAGACAATAGTTAAACAAAGATTGTATTATTTGTTTATAATTCCTTCTTCTTTTGCCACTCTTGTCATGGTTTACTGTATCAGGAATATACTTCCTTGCCCCACTGACTTCAGTCTTGCTCCTGTGGCTTACTTTGCCTAATAGATGTGAGCAGATGTACTCTATATCCCTTCTGAGTAGAAACTTTAAATGTGCTTATATAGTATTGGTTTGTTTCTTTGTACTCCTGCCCTGAACCATGAGAAGAGTATGCCTTGAGTGGTTGGTGAAGCTTTAACTTGGGTTTCAAAGTGATGGATACATAGATAAGAACTGAATTCAGTCCCACAGCCTGAAGCTGAGGCATAGTAGCTAATCACAGGCCAATGAGTGATTAACTGGTATCTTGCCCAAGATCATCCAGTCAATTAGAATAAAAGTAGAGACCAGAACCTAGGCCTTCTGACTCCCAACTCAGTACTTATTTGAGGCAGAGGCAATAATTATTCTCTTTCTTCTTCAATTAAAGTCTCACATATTTTTGGCGGGGAGTGAGATGATGTCAAGTTAAAAAGAAATTAGAGTTTGCAGCATCATTGCAGTAGGGATGGCAAATGAAATAGATATAAGCAGAAGTCATTGGGTGGAGCTTCCAGAGAGCTTTTGCCCCTTCTTGCTTTCCTTCCTCTTCCTAATGTGATGGCTGGAGCTCTAGCAACCACCTGTGATCATGAGGCAACCTTGAGGATGAAAGCCAGTGCTAAGGATGGCAGAGCAGAAAAACATAGGCAACCTGAGACACTGACTATGTCACTTGCTAGCCTTTGTTTCTTAACTTCAGGGAGCACCATTCGCTGTTTATGCTGTGAACAGAGGTCCCTGGAGTTAGGCAACATGGTGGCCCTGCCTACCTCTGTACTTTTTGTTGTTGTTGTTGTTTTTGAGATGGAGTCTCTCTCTGTCGCCAGGCTGGAGTACAGTGGTGTGATCTCAGCTCACTGCAACCTCTGCCTCCTGTGTTCAAGCGACTCTCCTGCCTCAGCCTCCTGAGTAGCTGGGACTACAGGTGTGCGCCCCCACACCCAGATAATTTTTGTATTTTTAGTAGAGACAGGGTTTCACCATGTTGGCCAGGATGGTCTCGATCTCTTGACCTTGTGATCTGCCCGCCTCGGCCTCCCAAAGTGCTGGGATTACAGGCATAAGCCACTGCGCCCGGCCTATACTTTTCTTTTTTCTATAAGATAAGACAAATCCCTATCTTGCTTGTCCTAGGTCTCTTTGACTAGTAGAGCAATGCAATCCTGACAGACACACTAGACTCACATGCCGGGAATCTTCCATTTGCCCCTTCCCATCCATTCTCCATTTTTCTCCACCCATGTGGCTGCCCTGTAAAGATTCTATCATTTGACTTCTTGTCTCTGGCTCCCAGCTGGATTCAGACAATGGGAGGCACCATAAGTGATGTGAGGGGCAGGGGGCAGTGAAGTTGGCGCCTTTGTTTCCCTGGTTCCTTCACTGCCAGGTTGCCTAGGGCTGGCAGCGTCCTGACTAGAAATCTCAGCTTTTGTCAGGAGACCTCTCTTCTCTCTTTCTCTCTGAATTTCAATGACATTCTCTTTCTTTGCTCCTTCAGGGCTATTGATACCACCAGCTCCTCAGTGTCTCTGATGCGCCTCTCCATCCCTTGCTGATTTCCTTAGTCCTGCCCACACCTTTATAAATAGCATCCTTAAATTCTCGCAGTTACTCCTTTTGACTGGGCCGCCTGTTTCCTGCCAACACATGTCATCGGAATTCCCGCTGATAGTTTTCTGATTCATGCTGGCTGGAACTTCTCTTTCCAGTCTCTATTCTAGTTTCTGTTTGATAGACTTCCTTGAGTGTCTATTCTTCTTTCTCTTATTACCCTAAAAACTTTTCTACTCCTAAACACTGTCCAGATTTATTATTATTGTTGTTGTAAAAACCACCATGCAGTGAATATTTACTATATACCAAGCACCAGATAGGGCATTTTATGTACATTTTCTTGTTTAGTCCCCACAAGAAGACAGTGAGGAGGGTCTTACGCCTATTCTACAGATGAAGAAAGGAAGTTCCCCAGACCAAGTGACTTACCCAAGGTCACAGAGCTAAGAGAGTGGTAGGGCTGGGATCAGAACCCAGGGTTCTCCAGTTCCAATGCGGTGTTACTAGGCATGATGCTGTCTTGTCTCTGATTTGAATATAAATATAACCATGACCCTAGTTGTCATGTTAGCTCAGAATACATTAGGACATTCCCAGAGGAGGGAATCAGGTGGTGAATTGGAGACCAATAGCAGAGGTGGTTGGCATCTCTTTTGCCGTAAATTGTGCATACTACCCACCAACGCATGCATATTCAAATATGCACACACACACATACACTCTCACTCAAACGTACACACACATGAACACGTTCACATACACCTACGCATTCTTCTCACGTGCACTTTCATACACACACTCACACATACTTACACACTCAAACATGTTCACATTCTCACACTCTCACATGCACACGCTCAAGCCTACTCACGCGTGCACATTCTTACACACACACTCAAACATGTCCACACATACATGCACACGTCTTCACACACACATACACACTCACACGTGCACACAGGTTCACATACATACGCAGAATTCTCTCCCACACTCACACACACTTTCACATATAAACACTCATACAGTCAAACATACACATGTACACTCCCACATACATATACACTGAAACATGTATACATACACTTCCTCACACACTCTCACGTACACACATGCACACACAATATCTCACATTCTCACATACACACACTCAAACATGCTCACACACACACTTGCATGCACACACACACTCGCATGCACACACACACACATGTGCACAAACTCACATGCACACACTCACTCACATGCACACACACACTCGCATGCACACACACGGGCCCCTTTCCATGTCTGAGAGGCCTCCATGCCTCCCAGCCCTCCTTGGCAGAGGATGCCTGATTCTGCAGCAGGTGAGGACATTTCTGCTCAAGGCTCTTTTTGACTTACAACGTAAAAACAACCCCTCTAGCTCTAGGCACCCTGGATCTGCCAGTTTCCTCAAACTTCACACCCTAACTGGTTCCAAAGAAAACTTCACCCAGACCCAGGGAGCCAGAACACCTGCTTTGTCAACTGCAGAGCGATGGAGACATCACCTGTGTGTTCCACTGGAACTGCGTCTGAGGCTTTGGCTGGCACCTGTGTCCCTCCACGCCTGGGTCCCAGGTAAGCAGGGTTGAGGTGTGACAGGTTCTTTCTCTTCTCTCAAGCCAGCTGGGTGTCAGCGTAATGAACCAGTGAACATCAGCTCTCCCATATGGGGCTAAGGAAGGATGAAGAATCCAGCGGGAAAGACCGAGAGCACATGGCTTCAGAACTGAGCCTTGGAACCAGATACACCTCGAGCCAACTCTGGCACTAATGTTGGCATGTTCCGTTCCTGGGATGCCTTTACTCTGTTCAAGTTTCAATTTCCTGACCAGTAAGTGGGGACACTAGTAGCAGCTTCTGGTGGTTTCTGTGAGGGTTAATGGAGATAATGCACATGAAATGCTGATGCTAGTATCTGCCACGTAGTAAGTTCCTAGGGGGAAAAGGGGGAGTTTATTTCGAAAAGAAAACAGACAAGGAGGAGAACCCAGAGTCCTGATCACAGACTGCAGGTTGCTTTAATCTCTCCCAGGGCTTGAGATACCAACAAGAAAGTCTGCCAATTTGAACACACAGCTGCTTTTTGAATTTTGTGAATTTGCCTCTGCAAAGCTGCTGGAGGTATATAAAGTATAGGCCACGCTGGCTGTTTAATTTGACCAATACAGGTAAACAGGAAAATGTTCAGACACCACAGTTCAGGACCTCTTGTTACCCCTTCTTAGTAGTGGCTGACTTGGGGACTGCAGCATTTTGCCTCTTTTTGTATTTTCTCTGAATCAAATTTGAGCCTGACACTCTAGTGGTGGTTAGATGAAGGAACTTAGGTATGTTATTTCCCTGATCTGTGCCTCAGTTTCTTCATCTGTAAAGTGGGTGTAATACTATTTACGTCACAAGGTAAAGAGGTAAAACCCCTCACACAGTGTTAGGTACATGATAGGTGCTCAATTATAAGTTCCTATTCACAAAAAACTTAGCTCTCAGTTGTAGAAAAAGCTAATAAGCAACAAGGAGAAGATGTTTCTATGTTATATATATTTCCTCCAAGTGTCTGAGGAAGTACCTTCTTTGTGAACATTACTCACAAGATAAAGAGGTAAAACCTCTCACACAGGATTAGGTACATAATAGGTGCTCAATGATACGTTCCTATTCATATAAAAGTAGCTCTCCGTTGTAGAAAAAGCTAATAAGCAACTTGGAGAAGAGGTTTCTATGTTGATAGGTTTCTTCCAAGTGTCTGAGGAAGTACATTCTTTGTGAACTTGGTCAGAGGCCTACAAATTTTAAATATTTTTCACTTTCACCAGTATAAAAAATGGAGAGCTGGGTGCAGAGGTACCTGCACCTATAGTCCCAGCTACTTGAGAAGCTGAGGCAGGAGGATCTCTTGAGTCCAGGAGCCTGAGACCAGCCTGGGTGATATAGCAAGACCCCCATCTCAAAAATAAAACAAAATTTAGGATGGATTGTATATATGCACACATACCTATATATGTTCATGTACGTTAGGTTTATACACATATATGCAGGAACAGAAAACCAAATACTACATGTTCTCACTTGTAAGTGGGAGCTGAACAATGAGAACACATGGACACAGGGAGGGGAACAGCACTCCCTGGGCCTCGTCAGGAGGGCCGGGTTGGGGAGAGCATCGAGAAAAATAGCTAATGCATGCGGCTTAATACCTAGGTGATGAGTTGATAGGTGCAGCAAACCACCATGGCACACGTTTGCCTATGTAACAGACCTGCACATCCTGCACATGTATCCCAGAACTTAAAATAAAAATAAAGTTTTAAAACCCCATTATAACTATATGCAAAAATTAGAAGTGAAAGGGATGAGCTACAAAATAAATAGAAGTTCTGGTATTTTCCCTCAAACCCCAAAGGATTATTTTAGGTACCCTGCTTTGTACACCACTGTCCAGGTCCTGGCTATTCAAAGTGTGGTCCTGAACCAGGAGCATTAGCATCACCTGGGAACTGGTTAGAGATGCTGAATCCCAGGCCCCACCCTGGACCAACCAAATTAGAATCCCCTGGTGACTGGGTGCAGCATTAAAATCTGGTAACCACTGGTTTTGGGAACATAACTGGGGGTAACCCCTCAATTTTAAGTTTCTTTATCTGTCTTATTACTTCTCCTTATTACTTGAAGTTGGATGAGTTCTTAGCTTTAACTAGCATATAGGAAATTAGCTGGACCCCTTCAGCATTGCACCAAGTTCTGTCAAACCGGGCTTGAAAGAGACTGCCCATGCCAAGCTTGATGAATGTTTTTCATTTGGCCTATATTTAGCGGTGCCAGCCAATTTGGAGACATCCCCAAAGAAGGGGCTTCTGATCTCCATAGTTTGAAACATGATTGCCAAGCAATACCATAAATCTGCTTCAGAAAGGCCTGGCAATTTTATTTTTATTTTTTTTGGTGGTGATGGGGGGAGGTTAAAAAAAGCTAGCAAAAGTAATCCCTGGCTGTTCCTTGAAGTGGACTCAGATGGAAATAAAATCTTTCCACAAAGTGAGCTTTGGCCCCACTGCCTTATTTCTGGTCCAAAAATGACTTTCAGAGAGCATGTTAACAAGGGCTCTGGCTGGAACTCGGAAAGGCAGGCCTGCAGCGAAGAGGTGGAGGAGGCTGTGTCACCAGGGAAGCACGCTAATGGGCTGGGCTGCACAAACATTATTTTTTAATTCTGAGGGTAGAAGCAACTGGTAGAGAATTCATCAAACTCTATAGACAGGAAGAGGGCTTGATTTCTGCTGTCCTGGCCCTGCCCAGAGCTCAGGACGGAGGTGAGTCACCTCCAGTTATTTGGGACCCAGCAAAAGACAGGACTCTGCTTACCAGCAGGCCTGGTGGACTTTATGGATTCAGGAGTGGGGTGGCCAGGCCACTGGTCCAGACTGAAGTCTGTAAAGGGGCTACCTAGAGACCTGCTGGTGGATGGTAGGATTGCACCAGGCAATACAATGATGCAATGTGCTTTTCTTCTTCTCCACCCTAGTTTTCCCCCATTGGGCCGCCATGTTGAAAGCCAACAAGAGTGTAAGGGAGACAAATTATGGAGAAGGACTCTTCTTGTCCCTTTTGTGCCTGTTTTTCTCCAATCTACTTCCTGCTCTTCCTCAGCTCGCTCCTTTCCAGTGGATGGCTGACTGCTACAAATTACAGCTCCCAATGTCCCTTGCTTCTGGTTGAGTTCAGCCAATGGAAGTCTGCCATGGAGGATTGGCAGATCGGAGGATAGGATGGTGGGAGATGTTAAGGTCATTCTCCCATACTTCACACACTGTCTTTTGGTGTGGTGGAGACTCCAGCAGTGGCTGTATTTCCCACGTGGTTCCAGCTTCCTCTGTGTTCCTCCATGGCCCCAGCTCCCACTGGGTAATGCCTATTTCTGAGCTCTAGTAATACCACCTCTTCCCTCACTCCCTCCTGTCCCAGGGTTGTAGCAGATTTCTGCTCTTGCAAGTTTCATGAGGTGTTTCCCATGTCCTGTTTGTCTTTTCAGCTCTTTCCACACCTTTGTAACTAGTGAAGTACATTAAATCCTTTCTTTTGAGCCACCTAGGTTGGGTGCCTCTATCTTCCAGGCTAGACACTAACCAATAAACATTTAGACTTTACAGCAACAATTTGAATCACATCAAATGAGTAGGCAGCCATAAAGCATTCTATCACTTGGCAGTTCATGCTAACTTAAACAGTTTGTTTCAAGGACACAAGTTATGCCAGTGATTTGAAAGAAAAGCTGAACAGCAAAACAAACGGTAAGCTTCTGGAGGCTTCCAATATCTAGGTAGCAAGAGCTACTATCCTTAAAATGTAATATTTGAGATTATTAATCAGCTCTCATTGCTTTCCATGAGTGTTTCAGGATACTCATTATTCTTTTCTTATAAGAGAGAAGGTCTCATTTGCTTATTTTGGGTCACATAACAACTAATTGACCACACACCACAAGGTGTCTTGACTGACAGGGCCACCAAAACTGCAAACAATTGGGAGAGGAACTTGTATTAGAGAACAGTGTAAATTGCTATAAGAAAGGGTCTCACAATATGTAACTTAAACAAGATGGCAGTTCGTTTCTATTGTCCTGGAGCTGTTTGGGGTAGGTGCATTGCTCTTCTTAACTTGTAACTTCTATGTCTAGGTCCAAGGATGCCTGCTCCTCCAGGCATCATTGCACACCAGCCAGCAGGAAGGAAGACAATGAAAGGGGAGGGCCCTCTTCTTTCAAAAACAGCATCTGGAAGTTGTGCTCACATCCCATTGGCCAATATCTAGCCAACACGAGCATTCCTGGTTGCATGGGAAGCTGCAAAGCACATTAGCTAGGTGGCCATGAGCTCTGAACAAGCTCTCTTACCATGGAAGAAGATAACAACAGATACTGGAGGAAAATCATCAGTTTAACTACAAATGTTATTCAAAGGAAAATTGAGATGCTACTATCAGAAGATGTAGGCATTCAAATCAACACAGACCACTAAAAAAACATTTATGTTTGAGGCACTCTGGATTTGCAGTTTTACATAGGGCACTTTCTTGAATTAATTAAGAGAACTGTTATGGACTGAATGTTTGTGTCCCTCACAAATTCATGTGTTGAAATCCCAATCCTCAATGTGATAGTCTTAGAAGGTGGGGCCTTTGGGAGGTGATTAGGTCACGAAGAGGGACCTCTCATGAATGGGATTGACAGCTTTATTAAAAGAGACAACACAGGGCTTGACCCTCTCCATCTGCTCTCTACCATGTGAGGATACAATAAGAAGATGGCTATCTGTGAACCAGGACGAGGGCTCTACCAAGAACCTGACCTGGCTGGCACCCTCATCTCAGGCTTTGAGCCTCCAGAATTGTGAGAAATAAATATCTGTCGTTTAAGCCACCTAATCTATGGTATTTTGTAGCAGTCTGAACAAAGGCAGAAGCTAACTCAGAAGCACCTCCCTATTTAAAACCCCAAGGAGCTCCACTGCACTCAGGACAATATCCAAACTCCTCCAATAGCCTACAAGCACCCTCATGACACAGGCTCTGCCTACTATACAGCTTTATGATAGAATCATACTCAATTTCCTGGTGGGATCTGACTCCAACTCCTCCTTCAAAACCCTGTGAGTATCCCTTCCTCTAGGAACTCTCTAGAAAAGGTAGAATTAACCCTCAGGGCTCCAGAGTGCATCATATGTATATAATCTTCTATTATACTTGAATCATTGGCAGGCACTTAATTGTTTCCATATCTGCTTTTCTCTCCCTAGCCCCAAGCTTTCCAGTTCCTCAAGGGTTGGAGCAGTGTTTTATTCATCTCTGAATACCCAGCACTAATACAGAGGTGCTCAGTAATAATTCTTTGAAAGAACTCATTAAACTCATTATATATATTGGGCACCCACTAAGTGTCAAGCCAAGCCCTGTTTTTGTTACCAGTGATAGGGTGGTGATCAAAACAGACATGGTCCTAACTGTAAGCAAGCATGGATATTCTAATAGTGGGATAGACTCTAAGGAAATAAGTAGGTCTATATGAAATCGGTAGTCATAGGGGCTAGAGAGAAAAGAAGAACAAGGTAAAAAAATAAAGTGTGACAAGTGTGATCAAGGCCAAGGATAATCTCTCTAAGATGTTGAATTTTGAGCAAAGACCTAAATGAATTAAGTGAATGAGCCAGGCAGATGTCTGAGGCAGAGAAAAGCATGATGCTACCAGGTAGGTAAGGTTAGGATGAAGATCATAGGCAGAGGTGTGAAATATTCCTGCCCAGTTAAGGAAGTGCATGTGGCTGAATAGGATTCTATCATAAAAGCAAGTGCAAAGGTCCTGAGGTAGTACATACTTTGTATGCTGGAGAAATAGCAGAGGATTCCTGGAGTGGGATGAAGAAATGTGAGAATGGTAGGAGGTGAAGTTAAGAGATCAGCATGAAGCAGTTCCTGTAGAGGCTTGTAGATTGTGGTAAGGACCCTGGATTTTATTTTGAGTGAGCTGGGAGCCATTGGAGGGTTTGGGTAGAAGGGGGATGGAATCAGATATGTTTTACGTCAGACCACTGACTGCTTGCTAGATCCGATCTAGCAAGGCAAGATCGTTATTCTTTCATATGGTCTATACTTTACATATTGGCCAGAGAATGAGTGGATGTTATAAGGTAAAAGAATGAATGAATATTGAAAGTTAAACAAAAAGAGATTTAAGAGCTCAAGACAAAACTGAAAGGGTTGCTACAGGCCCATGAAAGATTTGTTGCCCATTGTAGGGAATAAACAGGATTTACTCTGGGAAATCTGAGGTGGGAGCAAACACTTCATCCTGGGAAGAACAGGAAAGGAATGATGAAGGAGATGGGCTTTGAGAAGGGCTTGAAGGATGAGGTGGGCAAACTCCAGTCTGTGCCATTACAGGAATTCATAAGCCAAGGGAAAGCATAGGCCAGATGCATCTACCAGTTATTTTCAGACTAACCAAGATTATTAATCCATCTAGGCTGTCACAGATGGGGAAGTGATAGATGGCTCTTGTTCTGTTAGCACTGGCTGAGTCTGTGTCTTCCTCTAAGGCTCTGAATTCCAGCCCCTTTGGCTGGCAGAGTCTGGTTTCTAGATGAAAGGTAAGTGGGTAGGGTAGAGCAAAATACCCAAACCCCCTCCCCAAGGAGAGTACAGATAAGTGAGAGAATGAGATGTTTGACAAATAAAAATGACACATCTCATTACAAATATTGGTGAATGATAGGACGGAAAGCATTCAGGTGGATGAGGGGTAGGGTGGAGGGATGTGCTCCTTGGGGAAGTGACATTTGGGTTGAGAGTGGAAAGAGTCTCAGGTTTTTGTGCAAAATTGGAGGGAAGAACCTTGGTGGCAGAGGGAGAAATGGCTGCTAAAATCCAAGCCAAGAAAGAGCTTCCTGGATTCAAGGAAATGCAAGAAGGCAAGTATGTCATGGGCAGTGAGAGGAGTGGTGTGAGATGAAGATTCTCCAGCTGTTCTTTATTCTTCCATGTAAGTGGCAGAAAAGTAGAGAAGAACACAGGCAGGAGCATGGAACTTTTGGATTATTTTATTGCAAGTAATTATTTATTGTGTCTAGAATAATGCAGAGGTGGGCAGCTGACTATCAGTGATAAGTCACTCTACTGATTTCAGGATTCTCATCAAGAAGTAATATCTTCCCAGCCTGACCAGCAGTAGAAACAAACTAAATTTTTGTCTTGCCAAACACCGAGTTTTGCCTTCCTGGTTCAATGGTTTGATTTGTCTATCTGCAAAGTGTTTTGCCCCTAAGGCTTTGGTAGTCTAGACTGTTTGCCTAATTGTCCCTGCCCTGGGATGTCAGATAGCAGAGTCTTTTTCAGAAGAAAAGGAGCTGCACTATGGACTATTCCAAGTTGCCAAAAAACCAATCCCAACTACTCACTGAAAAGCACCTGCTGTCAAGCAGACCACAGGCACTGGTAAGCTCGGGAACATGCCTTAAAGTAGTTTAAAAAACAATTTGTTTGGGGGACATGGGGGATATTCCAGCTGAGTCCTTTTTTATTTCAAAATCATTTCACGTTGCAGAGGATTTTAATTCATGTGACTCTGATTTATTCGCACCCAACTCATCAAAGCTGATTTGTTTGGTTTCAAAGTCCACACAACACTGTTTGATAATCAAGAGACTTCATGATCCTTGCAGTCACCCCTGCCCCAGCCGGTGGCATCCTGTCCGTTCTGAACGGGATCCAAAGTGAGTTTGGAACCCAGCAGCTGGGGGCCTCATCAGTGGTTGGCAGTTGTGTTCTTTAGTTTTAATTTTGTTTCCAATTTGAGAAAAGGATAGGTTCCTGGATAGTATTTTAAAGAGGTTCCTCTCAATCTTTCCATTCCCAGTGACAATGATGATCACTCATTCCACAGGCATTTATCAAGTGCTATGTTGCAGACACTGAGCTAGAACTGGGGAAATCAGAAGTAATATACAGCATAGATATGACTCACACTTTGTCCTAAGTGGAATTCCTAAGTAGAATCTGCAGTCTATTAGGGGAGACAGACTATAAACCATAATGACACGTAGAGTAATTTAATTGCAAATATGATTTTTCAACAACTCAACTAATGTTTACTGAGCATCTATTACAGGCTAGACAACATTCTAGGGACAAGGGATACAGCTGTGAACCAAACAGACATCACCAAAATGGGGATACTAATAGTACTGAAGTTGAAATGAGACAATGAGAATAAAGCCCTGAGTTCAGGGACTATTAGGAGTTTTCTTACTCTGCTGTTAAAGCTTCAATGGCTCCCCAGTGCTCTGAGGGTAATAATGTTTCATCTCTTTGGGTTACAAACAGCTGGGCTTTTCTTCTTTGCTGAATCAATCTACTCCTGATTTTACCGCTTACCAGCTGTGCAACCATGGGTAAGTTATATGTGCTTCTCTGAGCCTCAGTTTCCTTTTCTATAGAATGGGGATAATGACGTCAATCACATAGCACTGTTGTGGATTAAAAGAACTGTGTCTGGCACAAGAGTAAGCGCTCCACAAATTTTAACTATTATTATTATTATTGTTTTAAAAATTATTGCTATTTGTAGCAGAGTCTTGATTATTTGGTTCCTCCAAATAATCCATAGTAATGGAATCTTTAGCTTATGCATAGCTACCCAGCATAAAAAAATACATTTCTCAGACTCCCTTGCAGCTAAATGTGGCCATGGGACTAAATCCTAGCTAATGGAGTAAGAGCAGAAGTGATTTGTATAATTTTTGATTTGCTCCCTTAAAGGGGAGGGATGTGCCCTACCCTTCTCCTTTTCTTCCCTCCCTCATGCTGGAACTCAGACATAATGGCAGGATCCCGAGCAGCTGTCTTGGATCATGAGGTGGTAGCTGTGTGGTGGAGATGGAAGAGCAAAAACTGGAGAAACCTTTTGGTGATTGTAGAGTCACTATATTGACCCTGGGCTACTTAATGGGATTTATATGTGTGGGAGAAATGAACTTCTGTTTTGTCTGAACCACTGTCAGTTTCACTGTCTGTAAGAGTAGTCAAACTTTATTCTAACCAATATATTGTTACCTCCTGTATACACCTCCAGGGCAGCCTTGGATGATCTATTAGCCTTGATGATCTATTAACTGTGCCTGGATGATACTTTGCATTTTGCTGACTCAGCCTCAGTATTTACTGTCATCCTCACCTGGATCACTTGCTCTCTTTTCTCTCCTTGCTCCCCTCTCTCCCCCTAACCATCTTTCAGCACTCATGTCAATACCTCTTTCTACCTGAGCCTTCCCAGAGCCCTCCACATTCAATGAGTTGACTTTCCACTAATTCCAAGCTTCTGGAATCTGTACTTATAGGTTGGTTCAGTTCAAGACGCATTAATTGGGCATCTACTCTAGTAAGTAGGGTTTTGGTTAGAGATAAAAAGTAAAGAGGTTCTTCTTTCAAGGAGTTTAAGGTTATGGGTTGCCTGTGAAGTCTCTTGAATGATAATCTTCATTCATTCAACAAGCATTAATTTGGCACCTACTGGGTGCCTGGCAGTGTTCCAGGTTCTTTGGATCCTAAGGAGAAGAATGTATGTCCTCTGTTTCCAAGGAGCTCTCAAACCCTTCATCTATCATTTCATTAAACAAATATATTTCTGGTCCTACTATGTGCCAGGCAGTAGGCTAGGCGCTGGGGATTCAACAGTGAACAGAACAGAGAGGATCCCTGCCCTCCTGGAGTTCATGCTCTGGTTGGGGTAGGGACAGACCATAAGCACATAAATAAATAAAAGTGTGAGGTAACTGCATGTGATGTGATAGAGGAATATGATACAATGTGAAGTGGAGATGCATGTCTACAAATGACAGTCAGGGGAGGCATCTCCAGGGAGCTGATGTTTCAGCTAAGACATTGATGATAAGAAGAATTATTCATGGGACTATGTGGGCAGATGCATGTCTCAGGCAGAGGAAACAACAAGTGCAAAGTCCCTGAGGTGGGGAAGAACTTGGTGTGTTTTGAGTAATGGCAAGAAAGACAGTGGCTTGGGGCAAAGAGATCAGGGCTTGGAGGTAAGAGATGGTATTGGAGAGGTCAGCAGGAGCCTTAGGAAAAAAAAAATCTAAACTCCTTATGCTGGTTACAAGATCTCCTCGTAATGGAGGAGTGAAATTATGTGATTTGTACATTAAACATCATGCTGGGTTTTAGGGGGACCTGAGGAGGATCAGGGAAACCACTTAGGAACCCATTGTAATCACCCAGGCAGGAGACAGGGTAGTTTCGATAATAGACACGCAGAGAAGTGGATGCATAATGGATATATTTTGGAGGAAGAACTGACACCACTGTGAAGATGCATGGAGTTGGGTCCCCATCTGGACTATGAGCTGCTTGAAGATATAAATATAATACAATATTTTATATATATATATATATATATATATATACGCACACACACAAAGATATAAATATAATACAAATAAATATAATACAATACGCTACCCAAGATGAGAAAGCTTCACACAGACCTCCCTTCTAACTGAATCGCCATTGACCTTGTCACATACCCAACTCTTCTTTTCTACATAAAGTTACTTGACAGCTGACTCTTCTTTGCATCCTTGAATGCTCGTGGCCTGAGGCATTGCACCCAGTAGTTGCTCCACAAATATTTGCTGGCTGCCTTTAGACATAAATCAATCCACATTTATTATTATTATTAATATTATTATTATTATATTAGACAGAGTCTTGCTCTGTCACCCAGGCTGGAGTGTAGAGGCACGATCTCAGCTCTCTGCAACCTCCACTCTCTGGGTTCAAGCGATTCTTCTGCCTCAGCCTCCCAAGTAGCTGGGATTACAGCGCACATCACCATGCTTGGCTAATTTTTGTATCTTTAGCAGAGATGGGGTTTCACCATGTTGGCCAGGCTGGTTTCGAATTCCTGAACTCAAGCAATCCACCTGCCTCGGCCTCCCAAAATGCTGGGATTACGGGTGTGACCCATCATGCCTGGCCATCCACGTTTATTATTAATAACAATGTAAAGATTGTTACTATTTACTGAGGGCTAATGTGATGTGCCAGGTACTATGCTGAGCGTTTTGCCTTTAGAGTCGCGAATAACCCCTACCAAATCCCTTTAAGGTAGATTTTTTTTGTTAGCCCCATTCTATAGCTGAGCAAATTGAGGCTTAAGAAGGTGGGACAACTTGCCCCTGAACATGCCACTTGTAAATGGTGACATCAGGATTCAAACCTTGTTCTGCCTGACTCTGGAACCCAGGCTCTTAGCTGAAAAATTTATTCAGTCCTCCTTTATGGATAACCAAGCCTCAATCTTATATTTCTTTTTTCTTTTTCTTTTTTCTTTCTTTCTTTTTTTTTTTTTTTTTTTTTTTGAGACAGGGTCTAGCTCTGTCACCCAGGCTGCAGTGCATTGGCACGATCATGGCTCACTGAAACCTCTACTTCCTGGGCTCAGGTGATTCTCCTGCCTCAGCCTCCTGAGTACCTGGGACTACAGGTGCACTCCACTACACCTGGCTAATTTTTAAATTTTCTGCAGAGACAGAGTTTCACTATGTTGCTTAAGCTAGTCTCAAACTCCTGGGCTCAAGCGATCCACCCACCGCAGTCTCCCAAAGTGCTAGGATTATGGACATGAGTCACCATGCCCAGCCTACCTTGCATTTCTTAAAGAAGAAAATGAGAATAAACGGGTGTGCTGCAGAGCTCCTGGGCCTGCATCCACATCGGCTTTCTCATTTACTAGCTGCATACCCTTGGGAAAGTTGCTGGCTCACTGCTTCCTCCCATCTCACAGTATCTGTAAAATTTGGTAGGTTAGGATGGAAAGACTGTCCTAGGTCACAGTGCACTATCATTTATGTCTCTCTACAGTCTTACAGTGAATGGAAAAGAACTCCAGCTGTGGCTTAGATAGCTCAGCTTTGTCACTTACTGGCTGTGTGACCTTGGGCGAGTTACTTAACCTCTCTGAGCTTCATCTGTAAAATGGGGATGATGATACCAACATCTATCTCCGTGGTTGCTGGAAGAATTAAATGTGCCTATAGCAAGCACCCAAAATGTGCTGGTTGCTGTCATTTCTATCCTAGAGGTGCAAGTTCAAGATTAATAAAATGGAGAAGGAGCTACCTCAAGGACCTGTTTCTAAAGTCATGGAGTGGTGTAACTGGATTCCTCCCAAGTGCTGAACCCCCCACTTCTGTGATCTGAGGATTCCGCATCCAGGGATTCCACATTGGGATTCCAAGGCCCAGCAGCACCTTGGAATGAGAAGGGTTAAGTATCCATCCAGCTCACAGATGCAGAAAATCTTCACAAAGATGCAGGGGAAATATTTCCATTTCTGATAAGGAGTAAAAATGGAGCAACTCATTCCATATGGGCTGGCGAGAGGGGCAGGAAGGAGCTGGTGGAGTCCGCAACGTGCAGGGCAGGGCAGCTCGAGGCTGATGGATGACCGGCTGGCCTGGGAGGGGCTGACCGGTCTCCACCCTGGAGGCACCAGGAGGGAACGGAGAGAGAAAGAGAGAGAGGAGAGAGAGGAGAGAGGAGAGAGAAGATCTGAGTCTGAGACAAGGAGGAGGGGCTTTCAGGAGTTCACTCAATTTTTCTTGTGGGTGGCAGCAAGAATTTGTGTCAACATCTGTCGTTTTGAACTAAATAGCAGCTTTAACCAGAAAGGGATGTGGGACTGTGGAAAGGGCACCAACATTCATTGTTTTTCAGCTTTGAGTCAATCTGGGCAAGATCTGAATGGATTTTGGAGAAAATGACAGAGTACATCTTGGTGGGCTGTTAGACAAGACCAAAGAATGTATTTTCCTTAAAATAGGTGCCTGAAAAATAAATTAAATATTACTTGAGTTGAATTAGATTACCTGGGCATTTGGCTGGATTTGTACCACCGATGTGGGTTACCTTCTTTCCTGTTCTGTTCCCATCCTCCGGGTTATTACTTAGGCTGTGCTCTCTGCCTAGAAGTACTGTTTTTCATTTTTTTTTTTAACCTGGGAATTTAACACTTATGAATGCTGTTTCTTGTCCAGGCATTTTCTAAGTGCTTTCTAGAACATTAACTTCTGTAATCCTTCCAGTAAAGTGGTAGGGTTAGTGCTATTTCTGCAATCCTTCCAATAAAGCTATAGGGTTAGTACTATTTCTCTTATTCTTCCAATGTAGCTATAGGATTAGTACTGTTTCTGCAATCTTTCCAATAAAGCTGTAGGATTAGTACTCTCATCATCCTAGTTCTATTAAAGAGGAAGCTGAAGCACAAATAGATGATACAACCTGTTCTCACCTCTCCGGTGGTGGGTGGCAGAGTGTGGGTTAAACCCACATCCCAGGGCGGCCTGGCTTCAACTTTCACACACTTACCCCTACTCTACACCCTCCTCTGACTCTCCCTGCACCTTCAGGTCTCTCTGTCGATTTTCCTGGTCATGGACGCTCTCTCAGACAGCCCTAAGAGCCGGGTTATTGAGTCCTCTGCTCACCTCTTCAGCCCATTTCATTGCCCTCCTTAGGGTGTGAAAGAGTCACAGCCCTGCCCCATTCCAGATCTCCTTTCAAGAAAGAACCCTCTGCCCAGCTGTGAGCACTGCAGGAGCCCACAGATCTAGCTGCAGAGCCTTCCAGAGTCACCTTGGCTTCTGGCTAAAGCCAGGTTCTTTCCTGGCTGATGACTGCACTTGACCGAGGTATGGGCCTGGGTAGTTTTTCCTGGTGATCTCTGCTCCAAAGCTCCCTGCTGTGTGGACCGAGGTGCTGCTCTTCATCTCCGTGGCAGTTGGAGGCTCTCCCTGCTCATCCCATGTCCCCGCTTTCCTTTTCACTAGCCTCCTGAGGATGGGGGCCCGTCTAGATTCCTGTGGTTTTCCCAGTCCCTAACTCTGTACCCAGTAGATGCTCACTCGATATTTGTAGTGAGGTAATAATTTGAAAACATTAAGCAATTTTTCTTGGGATATTTTAATATTTACTGGGTTTTGTTTGCTTTTTTGAGATAGGGTCTCACTTTGTCACCTAGGCTGGAGTGCTGCGTTGTGATCATAGCTCACAGCAGCCTGCAACTCCTGGGCTCAAGGGATCCTCCCATATTATGGACTTCCTTTAGTTAAACACTCACTGCTAAGCACTTTTTAATTTTTTTTTAGATAGGGTCTTGCTCTGTTGCCCAGGCTGGAGCAGTGATGCAATCATAGCTCACTGCAGCCCTGAACATCTGGCCTCTAGCGATCTGCCTGCCACAGCCTCTAGACTAGCTGGGACTACAGGTGTGTGCCACCAATCCTGGCCTCCAGAATAGCTTGTGCCACAGCCTGGCTACTGTTATTCTTTGCATTGTACCAGTCACCCCCCACCCCCCAGCCCATTTTGTCACTCTCTACCTCCATTCCAAATATGTGTTTGTTTCTTTTGTACTCCTTGTTTCAGGGAAAAGTTGAGACATCAGAAAACAAAGGAAAATAGAATCTCCCTCCAGCTTTTGAAATTCAAAATTCTATGCCCTTTAATGAGGATCTCAGGTCACAGAAAATACATTTGGTATTTATAATGAATAAGGGTGGGTATCAGTCCCTGAGCCAGAAAAAGGATATCTAGGCTGGAAGGGAGGGGGAAAGATAGATAGAATTTGAGAGGGAAAATAGATAAAGGAACCAGGGGAAAGGATCTGACCTAAACAGGTGGACAGACACAAGAGGCTGGATCAACCTCCACCTGAAGGTGAATTTTTCAGGAACTAGGTGGGATCTGAGCAGCATTAGATTGCCCAGCTTCTGCTCCAGAAAGTTCTGGGGATCACACTTGCTGTCTTTCCTGGTAGCATCTGGCCAGGGTCTCTTGTCCATCATAATCAGCATGCTACCTATTGGATGTTCAGCCTGCAGAGGCCCTGAGATTTGCCAGCTCCCAGTGTGACCTTCCCATCGGAACAACCTCTCCTTTCATCATTCCAGGATACTCATAAGCCCTAGAGATAGAGGGTAGGGTTCTGAACACACTGAAGGGGCTGGTAGTTCAGAAGATCAAAAGCCCCCTGTGTACTGTGCCTGGACAGTACTTAGACCAGCCCAAGTTTTCCACGGAACTGGGGTAGTTATAAAAGACTCTGCTGGTCAATGAACGTCTAGCTTTATTCAGGCATTTGCTCAAATGTTACTCTTCCAGGAGGCCTTCTCTGACTTTGGACCACGGTCTTAGTTATTCCCCAACTTAGCCACAGGTCTATTTCCTTCCACATGTCACCATCAGAAATGATGTTCTGTATTTACTTGTTTAGTATCTCTCTCCTGCCTAGCAGGTGAACTCCACAGCTGTAAGATCATGTGGTCTTGTTCACAGTTCTGTGCCCAGTGCTTGGCCCAGGGCCTGTCCCATCCTCATCCTGCAGGAGGCACTTAATTGTCTTGAAGGAATAAATGAGCTCTTCCTTGTATTCAAAAGAATATCCAAACCTCTCAATTGTCAGTGCAAACTTCTTATTGGCAAATGAATGAATTAATTCATCTGGGTGTAAGGGAGCAAGTGGAGAATTGGGAATAACTGCTGCAATGTTCTCTCCAGTCCCCAGTAGTTGGTCAAGAAGGGAAGGAGAGGCAGGTCAGAACATGGGGGCTGGTCTGTTCTGGAGGGTTAGGGAGTCAGACTGGTCATGGAAACAGAGACAATCTCAGCTGGGGCCAGGAGCCTTGTTGTTGCACTCAAGAGACAGAAATGGTCCAGGTGGTCATCTGTTGCTTGAGGTAAGTAATAAGAACACCGATCTGCCTGTTACATTCTCGCTGCTATGAAGTGGACCTTGGCCAAGTTTAAAAGTCTAGCCTCCTTCCTCCCAACTTTCATTTCAATCGGATAAAATTCCTGATCACTCAACTCGGCTTATGGTCTCTTAAAAGTTTCTCCACTGAAGTCACAAATCCTTCACGGGCCATCCCAAGTAGGGAATGCCATCAGCTTGCTTTCTGCCTGAGTCCTTGATGGGTGCTGAATTGGTCTCATCTGTTCACTCTGCCTTCAAAGCCAATGATAGGAGCTGCTTGCCAGGTCCCTCTGGGGAGGTAGATCTTCCCTGCAGAAGATGGAGGGGTTATCTGGGGGCACTTTGAAGGAGATCTGTATTCTCTATTTGATTCAAGGACTCAGGCATATCTCCAGTCCCCAGTAGTTGGTGAAAAAGGGGAGGAAGGAGAGGTGGGTCAGAACATGGGGGCTGGTCTGTTCTGGAGGGTTAGGGAAAAACAAGCAACCTAAGAATAGCAAAGGTGAGCCTAATTAATGAGCACATAGGGAGCCTTACTTAAATGTATTTGGAACTCTATATGTTCCCAAAGTAATCCATAACTTTAAAATAAAAATTAAAAAACACAGGCAAGCCAAAAGAAATAAAACATATATATATTTCTAATCCCTCTGCCTAGACATAACATCATTAACATGTTGTGGTTTAGCTTTCCAATAATTTTATGCATAAATATATGTTTTTATTAAAATAGAGTTATACAGTATATACTGTTATATAACCTCTCAGTTAGCAGTATGTCAGGACGTATTTCCTTGAAAATAAATGTAGAGCTACATCATCTTTTTAATTGTTACGTAAGAGTCCAATGTATGGAAGGCCCAGAATTAAATAGTAATTTAACCAGCTTATTATTATTGATAATTAGGCCCTTTCCAATTTCAGGCACTCATAAATAACAGTGTAGTGAGCACCCATTGATTTTCCTCTTTTCATAGATTTCTGCATATTTCTTTAAGTTAAATTTCTGGGTCAAAGGGTACGCACACTTTTATGGCTTTTTTTTTTTTTTTTTTTTTTTTTTTTTTTTTTTGAGACAGAGTCTTGCTTTGTCACTCAGACTGGAGTGCAGTGGTACAATCTCGGCTCACTGCTACTTCTGCCTCATGGGTTCAAGCCATTCGTATGCCTCAGCCTCCCAAGCAGCTGGGACTACAGGCACACACCACCACACCTGGCTAATTTTTAGTAGAGATGCAGTTTTGCCCCATCAGGCCTGGCTAATTTTTAGTAGAGATGCAGTTTTGCCATGTTGGCCAGGCTGGTCTCGAACTCCTGACCTCAAATGATCTGCCCATCTCAGTGTCCCAAAGTGCTTGGATTACAGTTGTGAGCCACAGTGTCTTGTCCTTTTATGACTTTTCTGATATATGTTGCCAAGATTCCTTTCTGAAAAGGTGTATCAATTAAATTCTCATAAGAATTATTCATGAGAAGATGCCTTGATAAAAATTACTTTAAAAAAGACAATTAGACAATACAGAAATACAAAGTAAAAGGTATTGTTTTTTAATTTTTCTTCGTAGAGAAGATTGTATTTTTACTGTACTGATATCAGATCCCAATTTCTAAATGATCTTTTTAGACTAATTCTACTTTCTGCATAAGATTTGCTACTGGACTATAAGCTCTGGGAAGCAGAGGTGGTATTTGCTTTGTTCATTTTTTGCATGCTACTACCTAGTTCAGGGTCTGGTATGCAGTGGGTGCTTGTTGTATTAGTTATCAATTGCTGCATAACAAATTAGCCCCGAAGTTAGCAGCTTAAAGCAATAAACATTGATTATCTCACATAGTTTCTGGGGGGTCTGAAATCTGGGAATGGCTTTGCTGTGTGGTTGTACTTCAGGGTCTCTCATGAGATTGCAGTCTATATATCAGTTGGGCCTGTGGTCTCAACTGGAGGCTTGATGATGGCTGGAGGATCCTCTTCCAAGACGGTGCACTCACATGGCTGTTGGCAGGAGGCCTCAGTTCTTTGTCACATGGATTTCTCCACAGGGCTGCTTGAATGTCTTCATGACATGACAGCTGGCTTCCTCCAGAGAAGTGATCCAAAAGAGAGGGCAATGTGGAAGCTGCAGTCTGTTTTATGACCCAGCCTCAAAAGTCATACTCTGCTATTTCCACAATATCTTACTAGTTACATAGGTCAGCCCTATTCAGTGTGGTAGATTCTTACACAACTAATTCCAGGAGGCAGGAATGATTGGGGTTCTCTTAGAAGGCTGGCCACCACATTTATTAAAATGAGCTGAATAAATAACTGAGTGAATGAATGACAGCCTCAGAACCAGAAGAGGTTAATGACACTCACCAAACCTTCCAAGCTGTTCTGTGTAGAGATGTTGTTAATTATCTGAGAACTGAGTTCGGGCTAAGCTGTGCATTCACTGTAGAAACTGCCAGTCTGAATTATTCCTCCCTTGAGTCAGGATAGGTGAACAAAGGCTAACAACTCCCAAAGACATTTGGAAAATTCCCAGGGGAAGTGGGGTCTTGTGGTTCAGACCACAGGCCCAGAAGGAGGCTGGTTCTTGCTGCTGTAAGAAATGCCAGGCCTACATGTCAATCAAGACATGGTGGGTCATTTGGGCCAAGAGAGGTCACTCTCATTATTAAAATACTCAGTAGTTTATGACCTCTATAAAGCCATTAGCCCAGGGAGATGAGGGAAAAGTGGTTTCTAGCACCCTTTGCCTCTCTGAGGTCCATTAGTGTCAGGGTTGTAAACTCGGTCTTGGGCTGTGGGTAACTGGTTTTATTATCCATTGATTACCTGTGCGTGTCAGCAAGTCTCCAGCACCCTACAAACATAGACTCTGGCCATATAACCATGGGCGACTCCTGGTAATTCAGCTGTACACTCTAGGTCTCAGTTTCCCCATCTGTAGAGTAATGGGCTGGACAAGATCCACGGTTCTCACATTTCTCACCATCAAAGCCAACTTATTTTAGTTTACTTACCTCACGTTTATGCCATGTTTAGAATGATTTCTCTAGCAAGCAGTCTTCCTTAAAAACTGATTTCTCTTCCCCATTAATATTACTAAGGACAATTAGCTTTATAGAGACAAAAATATATAACTGACAATCAAAAATTCTGACTGCCACAGGCAGGCAGCTCTCATGGTCACATCTTTCATAACATCTTCATCAAGCTGAAAACTGCAGGAGTAATTGGTCTCCAAGGATTATTCCCTCATAATTGCATCCAACATTTATTGATAGCTTTCTATATGCCAGACATTGTTTTGAGCACTTTGCATATTCTAAGCTCCTAATCTTTACGACAACTCTTTGAGATAGGAACTACTACCGTGAGAAGATTGAGGCACAGAGAGGTTTCATCACAGGCCAAATAGCACAGAGTTTATGTGTAATGAAGGCAGGACTTAAACTCAAGCCATCTAGCACCAATGCTGAGCTGTTAGCCACTAAGCCAAACTGCTTTTCTCTGACCACATTTCCCCAAGATTCTACCATGAGAAGTGCTCCTTTAGCATGTCTGCTGGAAGAAATGTGCTTGGGTAACCAACCTACTCAATGTAGGCTTTGGAAGTAGAGAACTAGCCTTTGAATCATTGTGGGTAAGCCACTTCACCTCTCTGAGTCTCGGTTTCTTCCTCAGTAAGATGGAGATAGTCTTATCTTGCTGAAGATTGCTAAGGAGATGAAATGACATACAGTGTGCAAGGTACTAGGTTAATAGGGATTAGCTAGTATTTCTATTCTTAACCAAAGGAAGTGATGACTGACATGACAAAGGCAATCTTTTTTGTACCTGCAAAATGGAATTAATCTCCCAGGTAAACTGGTGGGGGTATATGCCAATGGAAAAAGAAATACTGGCTCCTTATTTGGCAAGAGGTAGTATAGGTGGAAGCTAGGATAGGTTGGAGATTTGGAGAAATTGTGCCTGTATTATCCATTGAGTTTTCTGAAAGCAGACACTGAACCAGAGTTTGGGGTACAAGGTGTTTATTGGGGACCATATCTATGAAAAGGAGAGGGTGTTTATTTCTTTATCATGTTTGATCTCTTCTGCAGGCTGTCCCAAGAAAGGCATGTCCTCGGGTGAGGTGAGGTGACTCTGCAGCTGAGAAGGGACCTGGAGGGTCTGCTGTCCATCTTTCCTGCTGCTGGACAGCAAGTCTTCCTTTGAAGAGGGATCTGGAAGGTGCATCTTCATGTCTACCAAGTCTGCTAGGCTGATGGGATGATGAAAATCAGGAGAGGAATGGTGAGGTTTTGGGGCTGAACTGACAAACCATATTTTAGCACACTTTCTGCAACTTCTTCTGATTCCCCTAGCCTAGGCTGGATACACTGTGTCTCATTGTCTAAGTCCGGCCTGGCCATCAAGAATGCCCAACAACGCCTCCCCATGTGGCTGGTGATACCAGCTTTCATCTTTGCAGAAACTCTCATGTTGAATAGCTAGTCATCATGGACCTCAGCTGGGAATTCCAGAAGTTTTCTACCAGCCTCCTCATGACTAAAGGCTTGCAATGGGAGCTTTTGAGGTTATTCACACTTCAGTCATCAACATTTGAGAACACAAAGAGGCAAAGTCTTGGCTAATATCTCGCAAAGGCAAACAGTTTCTGGGGTGGTGAAGAGGAGGAATGGTTGGACCCAAGGACTTCAGGGAAGTCAGAGAGACCTAAAGGAACTCAAGCTGTGGGCCAATGGAGAAGTCAGGCTGAGGTCCTGCTAAGTTCTGTCTTTTTGCTTCCTTAGGCTGTTGAAGAATGTGGGTATACTTCACAGACTCAGTGGATTTCTGGAGCATCTCAAAAACAACTCAGCACTGGAAATCACAAGAGAAATCAATGACAGAGTCAGAGTCAAAACAGAATCAACAAAACTGTGAGGACAATTGCCAAATTGGAATTTGATGACTCAAGAGTATGAATAATAATTATAGTGTACCTATGCATAATGTAATTCATCATTTATTTTTGTAATAAGATATTTCTATACTCAAACAGTAGCGTAAATGGATAGCAACTAATTATTATTATGGCTGATATTTGTTAAATATGACTGGGTGCTTTGCTTGCATTATTTCATTTCATCTCTGTATAACTCCATTAAGGGAGATACTATTATTGTTTCCATTGTACAGATGGGGAAATTTAGCCTCAGATAGAGTAACTCATTTGCCAAGTTCCCATGTAACTAGTAAGCTGTTGAGCCAGTTGTAGTAAGCAGCAGGCTTACTCAGAATAACATAACGTGACTTGGCTTTTAAGAGCACAAGTTCTGGAGCCAGATTGCCTGGGTTTGACCTCCAGCTGTACCATTTATTAGCTTTGTGACTCTGGACAAGTTTCTTAGCCTCCCTGTTCCTCAGTTTCTCATTGATAAAATAGGGTTGGTAATAAGTGCATACCACAGAGAAATGGTAGGAAGATTAAATGAGTTAATACATGCAACACTCTTAGAATAGCACCTAGCACACAACAGGTATTGCCTAAGTGCCGGCCTTTATTATTTTGTATAGATGTATCTGGTCCTAAAGCTCCCAGCCATTTGAACCCTACCGTGGTGACGAGAATAATGGTATCCATTGACTACTGAATACAGGACAGAGGGCCTGTACAAATGTCATAAATAATGGCTCAAAGGTCCAGCCACTGTATCTGTATACAGCCAAATACTGAGCTCATAATTCAGCAGGTCAGCAATTTGTACTGGGCTCAGCCAGGTGGTTTTCTGGTTGCAGAAACGGGCTCACATTCATTTGCTGTTAGCTGCAGGGGTTGGCTGGGGGCTGGCTTGTCTAAGAGAGCCCTAGCTGGCTTCTGTGCTCCATGTAGTCTGCCTCCAACTGTCTAATTCTCACAGTGGTTGGGCAGGTTTCTAAGAGGAAGAGATGAAGTTGCAAGGCATCTTGAGACCTTGACTTGAAACAGGCATAGCATCACTTCCACCATATTCTATTGGTTAAAGCAAGCAACAGGCCAGCTCTAATTCAAGGGCAGGAGAATAGGCTCTGCCTTTTCATGGGAGGAGATGAAAAGTCACGTTGCATTGGAGCCTGTATACAGGGAGGGGGATAAATGTACCTTTATTTGCAAAGAATCCACAGTTACTACACAACCTACATTCAGGGTTGGTTCCAGTTTTAAATATTCTGCTCCAGTGTCACCGTAGGCTAACTTTGACATGTTCTAGAAAGATCAACCTGTTGGCATTCAACTTTATCCATGAGTCTCTTGTACCCTGTATCAAAACAAAAGTGTTTTTCTGCATATATGGCCCAAATTGTAGCTAGAAAGGTAAAGCTTTCAGCAGTGTTTAACTTGCCACTTTGAGGCCAGAGACTTGGATTCAAAACCAAACTCTACCCATTATTTGCTCTATGGCTGTGTTACCCACTCCTCCTCTCTGAACTTCAGTTTCCTCATCTGACATTGGAATTACAAGAGTTTCTTGATCACCAGACTGTTGTAAGGATTAAGAGAGACAACAGACATGAAGCACCCAGAACAGTATCTTGTCCCTGGCTCCATGAGTATTTAATTAATAATAATATTATTATTCCCTCACCACTGACAATGGGAACTACTTTTTCCACCCCCACTCTACAAATTATACAAGCAAGGAGTGAGAGTGACACGTTGCCAGCTTGCAATCTATATGATGAGCTCTGGATATTTTGAATCTCATTTCCTCCTGATGGGAGGATAAACTGAGTCACTTATCTTCTCAAAGCCAGAAAAGCAAGACAAAATGAATAGCTGAGTACAGTATTTAACCTTGTAGTGCCCCAAAGAGAGGAGACCAACTGGAAAGATTAGAAAACAGTTTGGAAATTTGCTGTCTACAACTACTTCTTTAGCTAGCTTGTTTTTTATTTTGGGGTGTTTTTGTTTTTGCTTTGTTATTTTGCTTCCCCCCCCCAACATAGATCTCAACAGCCAGAGCTTCAGACCAGGGTGTCTTAAAGTACCACAAACCACACTGCAACCTCCTGAGCACAGGATTAAAGAAAGGGTGATCTAGGCCAGAGAAGCTTGGGCCTGGAGGCCTTCCAGCTCAGCTCTGTGTCTCTGGCATGTAAGAATATGGTTCTGATCAACACCTCCAGCTTGGAGTCATGCACACCAGGTCTGGATTAGGCTGTGCTAATGGGTCCTGAAGGGTTCTTGGGTTGGGAGAGACTGAGAGGCAGGTTTCTACCAACCAAGACTCTGGCTCAGCTTGGAAAAATGTGACATTTCTGAACATCCTGCTCAAAATTCCTGACCTTCTTCAATTTGTGCTTTGCTCTCTTAAGCCTGGGACTCAGGGCAAACCTTTTGTCTTGAATAGGACCTGGGGCAGTACCTTCAGAAATGGGGAACGAATAGAAAGAATTTGTCATTCAGAGTTGGAAACACAGGCTCTGTGGCTGGTTGACTGTGTTTTCTGAACTCCTCTGAACCCCAAAGGTTCTTTCCACTCTGATAGGTGGGTGGACAGGCATTATTAGTGCCTTCTATCAGATGGAAAAACTGAGGTCATGATGGTGCTGATAATAATTAAAGTTTGCTGAATGTTTCCTACGTGCCAAGCAATATGCTAAGTGCTTCAGATGCTTTGTTTCATTCAAGCCCATTCATTTTTTTCCATTTACTAATGAGTTTACCAATGTCCAGAGAAGTGAAGCCACATGCCTAAGGCCTCATAGCTGGTAAACAGCAGAACTAATGCACCATATTATTATTCATAATCGTGAGCACTCTTTCTAAATCAAATGCACTAGAGGTTCTGATTTGCTAATGAGATCACTATCCCTTCCTCCAATTACATACCCATGTGGCTTAGACTAGCATGGTCTCCTAACTTTTTCTTTTAAATGGTTTCTTTTATTTATTGCTACATTAAAAGAACCATCCCTCAAGCTTAGTCAAGTAAAACAAACATTTTTTCATGGTTGTTTTTGTAGGCCAGAAATTTGGCCATGGAAGTGTAAGGTGGTTTATCCATGCTCTGCAATGACTGGGGACTCAGCTGAGGGGGATGAAATAGCTGAAATGGCTGGGAAAGATTGCCTGGAGCCACATGGCTGGGGCTGTCAGTTAGGTTCCTTGTTTCTTCTCCACAGAATGTCTATTGAAGCTGGAAAATCCAAATGTCTTCTTCACATGTGTGTCTAGGCTAGGATGTCTGGAGCAGGGCAGGCTGCTCATGGGTCTCTCTCTCTTTACATGCTCCTCCTGATGGCTAGCTTGGCTTCCTCATGGCATGGCAGCCTAAGGGTAACTAGACTTCTTGCATGATTTAGGTTTCTAAAAGTCCTCATTTCAAGAGGCCTAGGCGGAGGCTACAATGTAGTCTTCTTAGGATCAAGCCTTGGAAGTCCCAGAAGGTCAGACAAGGCCCTAAGCATGGCAGCCATGGGAGTGTACCACTTGGAGCTCCCTGCAAGAAAGAATTTACCTTTCTGCTGGGTGCAATGGCTCCCACTGCAACCTCCAACAACCGTACCTTTAGGAGCTACTGCAGCATTCCAGCCAAGAGAGCTTCCAGCCAATGTCCTAGCCTGATTGGAGTACTAGGGCCTGGCCATTTCTGCACAATGCAGGACTCCTCTAATGAAAAAATTGCTCCACAGTTCCATATCAAGTTGCCCAAGACTTTGTCCAATCTGCACTGTGGTGTAAGGCTGTTCCTTTTCATTTCTGTTTCCCTTTCCTTGATCTTTCAGGAGTGCTTTGCTATGCCTAATAAACCTCTTGCACTCCTAACTCAGTCTCAACAGCTGCTTCTCAGAGGACCCAAATTGATACACAGAGGCAAAGCCAGATCCAAGGAGAGAGGAATTAGACTCCACTGCTCAGTGGGAGGAGCAGCAAAGAGAATGCAGCTCTCTTCATCTGCAGCATCGAATTTTTGTTGATTCAAAACGTATAATAGAAAAGTTTATATGACACAAGGCTGCAGCTTAATGAACTATCACAAAGAAGACTTGCCCACATATTTACCACCAAGATGAAGAAATAAAACCTTACCAGCACCACAGATGTTCTCCAGGGTCCCCCTTTCACATCACCACCCACTGTCCTACTCAACGGTAACTAATATCCCAACTTCTAACACTAGAACTTCATTTGGCCTGGTTTTGTATTTTATGTAACTGGAATCATGGAACATATACTATTTCATGTCTGGCCTTTTTCACCTCATATTAATTGTGTTTCAGATTCATCCATGTTATTGGGTGTGAAAGTACTTGTTCATTTCTATAGTTTTGCATTCTATTCTATGAATAGATTATAATTTATTTATACATTATTATTATTGTTATTTGAGACAGGTCTCACTGTTGCCCAGGCTGGAGTGCAGTAGCACAGTCTTGGCTTGCTGCAACCTCCGCCTTCCCAGCTCAAGTCATCTTCCCACCTCAGCCTCCCAGGGTAGCTAGGACTACAGGTGCATGCCACCATGCGTGGCTAATTTTTTGTATTTTTTGTAGAGACAGGGTTTCATCATGTTGCCCAGGCTGGTCTCCAACTCCTGGGCTCAACCGATTTGCCAGCCTGAGCCTCCCAAAGTGCTGGTATCACAGGTATGAACCACAGCACCCAACCTATTCTATTATTGATGGATATTTATACTTTGTTGATCATGCACCCTATTATAAAGAAATATTTGAGCATGTAATTATATATATATATATATATATACACACACACACACATACACACACACACACAGACACACACACACATGGTATATACACCACTGTAGTAATATATTTTCTACACTGTAAAGCACTTACAGAAATACATAGATATCTTAAAAGATGAGGTAATCTAGAAGCTTTCATATTTTCTTTCTGTATCCCAGTAGATCATTCCCCCCTGCCTCCTGCTTTATTGAATTCTGGCTTAGGGAACAAGATTCAGATAACATATCTACTTCAGTAAGAGACCATGTGGCATATTGGGAAGACCATGGGTTTTGAAATCAGACAGACCTGGGTTCGTCTCTCTGTACTAGCTGTGTGTCTAAATAAGTGATGCTATATGTAGAGTGTCTAGTTTCTCACTTATAAGCCTTGCATTCATCTAGGAAATGTTTAATGGGTACCTAGTATGTGCTAGGCATAGTCCCAGGCACTGGGAAGACAGAAGAGATCCCCCAAGTCACATGGTACAGGGCATAGCTGTATGATTCTAATCCTGGGTGGAAGTGAAGAATTGGACCCAATGATCCAGTGTACCACACGGGCCAAAGGGGCCCAAGGTGTTTTTGATAATTCTGGAAAAGGTCCTGTGTTGAAAGCAGATAACATAGAGCAAGGTCTCGGGTTGCTTTTCCCTGAATTTTCCTGCCTTGGCCCCTCTTATCCAGGGCTTTCCCTTCCCCAGCCTCTCCTTCACTGTGTGGTGGTGGTGGTGGGGGTGTCTCTGACGGCAGTGGGAGGAAGTCTGAAGAGACGGGGGAGGCAGAAATGGAAAGGCAAAGGGCAGAGAAGTAGAGATTTCAGAGACCAACTGGTTCTATCAGCCACCCCCTCCGCATGCCCACCTAATGGTACCCTCCTCTCTCCCTCTCCCCAAGTTATCTGCATGGCGTGTCTAACTGAAATTGAAGACCTGCTTAACTGTGCGCCTACCCAGTCTGATCTCAAATGTGGGCTACCACAAAATATGCACTGGTGCTTCCAGTTCCCAGGAATCTGACAAAGTGATTGATGCCCAGCAAAGCTATTTCTTCAGAGGTCTGGAGCCAGTCTCTTGTTTAAGCCTTGAAATTGAAGATCCTTCCAACACACCAATCTTGTGCTAATGAACCTAAGAAGACTGAAGTGAAATGTGTGCCAGGCAACCCTGAGAAACACCCACAGGCTTGTGTTAAAGCTTGTATCTGTGCTATAATGCTGCCTTGCAAATAAACCCTGAGATTTTACCAGCCCACAAAAACTGTAAGATAGATGAGGTCTGCTTGTCACTGACAGCATGCAAACAATTCTTCATCCATGTGATCAGGGTGGGTTTAAATCAGGAGAACACTGTCTTGAAAAAACAAGGGATTTTCTTTTTCCATCCCAAATCCCTTGGAAAATCTGGTAAAAGCTGTAAGTCCTTTGATCAGGAAAAAAATGCACATGTACAGATACATAAAATTGTACATAAAATTCTAATAATAACAATGAGGAGACTTTAAAACAGCACAAGTACTCTTTTAAGTTCTTAAGTTCGCTAATTTAATCCTTATTAAAATTTCATGATATAAACACCACTATTATCCCTATTTATCCAAGGTTGCTCAGGTACTAAGTGGGGGATCTGAGAGATGAGTCCAGAACTCTGAGGCCAGTGTCTTTCTTTCTTTTCTTTTCTTTTTTCTTTTCTTTTTCCCTTCCTTCCTTCCTTTCTTCCTTCCTCCCTTTCTCTCTCTCTCTTTTTCTTTTTTTCTTCTTCCTTTTCTTTTTTTTTTTTTTTTTTTTGTTTTGAGACGGAGTCTTGCTCTGTTGCCCAGGCTGGAGTGCAGTGGTGCGATCTCAACTCACTGCAACCTCCGCCTCCCGGGTTCAAGCAACTCTCCTGCCTTAGCCTCCTGAGTAGCTGTGATCATAGGCATGCACCACCACAGCCGGCTAATTTTTGTATTTTTAGTAGAAACAGGGTTTCACCGTGTTGGCCAGGCTAGTCTCAAACTCCTGGCCTTGTGATCCACCTGCCTCAGCCTCCCAAAGTGCTGGGATTATAGGCGTGAGCCACTGCACCCGACCAGTGTCTATGTTTCTAACCACTACTTCCAAAGTACCTGGCAGAGAGGGACTCTGATGGGAGTGACCCAATTATAATCCATTGTGAAATTAATGATTCAGGTTTCAAAGTGTCCCACTTTTTAAAAAAAAATTTACATTTTACACACTCAGGTGGATATCTGTTGTTTTTGCCTGTCTGACATCCTTTCCTCTGTGGCCTTCTCCAGCCCCCTGCCTTCAGTCTCGGTGCTTCTGATGAACTTGACTCCAGTCTCCCTGGGATGGGCAGGTGTGTGTCCTAGATTTGTTTAATGAGACCCAGCGTTCCCCTGGCTATGAGGTTGGTTTTGGAGTGACTACATAGTTCAAGCTGGACCAATCCTCGCCATAAAGTGTTAGACCAGGGACTTTCGATGGAATTACTGGGAAAGCCTCTTCTCTGCTGAGATTGCTAAAAAAAATCAATGTTAACATTTTTGGAGTAATCCAATAAATAAACACCCTTGAGAATGAAACTAAAACAGAGGAAAATAGAAGCTAGAGATAAAGAGAATTGAAGTCAAAATTTTTGCTGGTTTTGATCACCTTAATTCATCAATGCCTGATCTCTTGGACAAGTACATGAAACAATACTGTGGGAGTGGGAGTTCTGTTCTGGGCAGAAAGAATCCTGGTAAATATGCATTTTTTATCATTGCCCTCCTTTTTGTCTCCAAATGCAACCTCTCTCCATGATATGGATGGCAACATGAGGTAGCAATTGTGTTTAAGACCATACAGCTTCATACAGTGCTCACTGGCTACAAAGACCGCAGACACCTTTCCCTTTCATTATGTTTCAGACACCTCCAGTATAGTTGTGGGGTCTCCCAAGTCTCTTCCTCACATGCTCAGCTTACACACATTCTTAAACAGCAGGTGCTCCATCATTGCTTGCCAGTGTCATGGAATTGTAAATAAGGCTTTTGCTATCCTGGAATTTGAGCCAAACTTCAAAGCTGAGGCTAATAATGGCTGTTGAGGGCTCAGAATTCTAAAGAAAGGGTCTGGACCCCCTTGTCAGGACTACTTGCAATAAGAGACCTAAAACTGGTTCTTATCACCCATGACACAAAGCGGCAAATATGAAGGAAAAACTAAATTGTGAGGATTTCCTCAAAGAGAGTTGTTAGAGCATACATCTTTCTCTTCATGCTGTTCCTTCTTCCAGGGTGATCCTTTCACCTTCATATAAGTGGTGAATTTCAGTTATCCTTAGAACTCAGGTTAAACATTGCTTCCCCTGGGACCTTTCCATGTTTCCTGTAGCTAGACCTGTTGCTCCTGTCCTCTGTCCTTTCTCCCAGAATCCTTAATATATTTATTTAGGTTATAGTACTTGAACATGCACACTAATAGTGTAATTGTATGACATGTGTTGTCTCTCCTCTTAGGCTAACAGAGCCAACCTGGCATTGACCTGCATTATTCACCTCTATACACGTGCAGGAGGGGAATGGGGTGAGCTGGGTGCAGCTCTAACAGCCTTCCTGCTACAGGCAAGGCCCTTTAACTTGCTCAGCACTGCCACAGGCTTGCATTTGCAAAAATGGACCTTGAAGCTGAATTTGGGAGCAGAGCCAGAGAGAATGGCATTGTTCTGTAAAATGGAGTGTGGAGAATTTGGAGTTCTACAAGGTGGCCCATAGAGGTGGGTTGGGGTAGAAGTGAGAAGTGACAGGAGGGCAAAGAGAGAGATGAGGAGGTGGGAAAGGCCATGAGGTTTTCACACGCTGCGAGGGGCCCATGAATAGATCTGCCTGCTGGGGTGGTCAGGTTTCTAACAACAGAGATGTCTATTATTCATTTGAAATTTTGAAGTATTTCTGCAATAAAACTCCTGTTGCTATCCTTTAGTCTTAAGTGAAAATCTCTGACATAACCAGGAATCTTATGAGACTGCTTTAGTTTTAGCGTTTTTTTTGTTTTGTTTTGTTTTGTTTTGTTTTGTTTTGTTTTTGCAGTTTGAAATAAGAAGGCCCAATTCATAGATGGGTGGACAGTATGAAAAACAACGCAGTGATCTGCAAATAGAATGATCTTAATAAATACTGACATCCAAGGTGACAAATGACAATCTTGATGTTGCAGACACCTTGGATAGGGCTTTGAGTGTCCATAAGGCACAGAATAGTGGCTTTGAGCCAGTCTTGTGTAGAACTTATGCAGCAAGGAGGGGCTGGGCATGGTAGCTCACACCTGTAATCCCAGCACTTCTGAGGTCAGGAGTTCAAGACCAGCCTGGCCAACATGGTGAAACCCTGTCTCTACTAAAAATACAAAAATTAGCTGGGCATGGTGGCCCATGCCTGTAGTCCCAGCTATTTGAGGGGCTGAGGCAGGAGAACCTCTTGAACCCAGGAGGCAGAGGTTGCAGTGAGCTGACATTGCACCACTGCACTCCAGCCTCGGTGACAGAGTGAGACTCCATCTCAAAAAAAAAAAAAAAAGAAGAACGTATAGGGCAAGGAGGTCCAAGGTGATGCTGTTTGCTGCGTGCCTGGCACCAGAACTGGCACAGTGGTTCTCACACCACCACTAGCAGCAGCATCCCTGGGGTGCTTGTTGGAAATGTATATTCTTGGTCCCTACCCCAAATCTACCTTGTCAGATTGCTTGGAGGTCCCGGCCTTCTGCAATTTCACAAGTTCTTCTGGTGATTCTAGTGTGTGCTAAAGTTTGAGAAATATGTGTTAAATCCTCAGTAGCTTTGTGTTGAACTAATGAATGAAAAGCTTAGGGAAACATAGTGTGCTCGTGGTAGTCTCTATTTTTATATCTCTAAAACATGTTAACTCTGTGCTGAATCATTATTCATCAACAGCTAGGCTTCCAGCCCCAAAGAGCTGCGCCTGAGTGCTTTGCTCTCTGACAGCTTAAAACCAGACTACTCAAATCCCAGGATATAGGTTGGTGTGACTGTCTTGGTGTCATCCAACGAAAGCAGATAGTCTGAGGCCTCCCTGGGCGCACAATCTGATGGCAGACTGCCTCCTGGATGCAAATACTGCGTTCTGTTTCTTGATGGACAAGGAAAGGATAGCAGTTGCTTTCCTTAAACATGTCCAGGGACTTTTTAAAAAGCATCCACCCTGGCAGATTCTCCCAGAGAGGTACAGTTCTTTGCCTGTCAAGCCAGGATATTAAATTAAGCAATTTTCATCAGATAACACATCTTCTGGTTCATGTAAACGTCCCACAAATCGCTGAGCTCGTAACTCAGCCTGATTGAAAGTGAGCCGCTAATCCATTTCACTTTGTAGATGGGTGCTGGGCTAGCTGGCAGCATGTCCTTGCCTAGGAGCCCCAGGATGGCCATGCTAGGACATCCCCTCTCCTCCTTCCTTCTCTTGTCAGTCTGGAGGTATTGTTTAGCATTTAGTACCCCTGGCCTCAGACCAAGTGACCACAGGGGACCTGATCTCCAGCTTCTTAGAGGAGATAGTGCCCAGTTCTGAGTGCAGGACACATTCAAAGTAAAGTTGTGATGTGGATGACATTTGCCATGGTGTCCTCCACCTCCCTTCTAACCTTCTTCCTAAGCCCAAGTCTGAGGACCTGATCCTTGTTTTTACTCCTGTCCTAACAAATGATAGCTCCAGCCCTACTAGCTATGGGCCTTGGTCTCCTTATCTGTAAAATGGGAAGACTAACACTACTTATTTGTAGAGTGGTGAACAATTACATAGAATAACATCTGTAAAATGTTGATCACAGTGCTTTATACCTTGTCCCAGTAAATTTAACCGTTGCTGTTACTATTATTATTATTTGCTGTTTTGCTCTATATCTTCATCTCTAGATGTCTGCCTCTTTAAAAAGTGATTACCCCATTTATTGAGTAGTTACAATATGCTAAGCATTATTTGATGCTTTCAATATACTACCTCAACTAATCCTCATAACCCAATGATTCCATTTACATCACTGTGGTTCAATTCTCTCACCTGTAGAATGGGATTCAATGGCAGGGTTCTTTTGAAGATTTGACATAATATATATAAGGCATCTAGTAGAGTGCCTGGCAGAGATGATGCTCAAGAAATGGCATCTAATATTACTAGCAACATTTAATGTGCTTGGATGTATGTGACTTGGGAGTTCAGAGCAATATCACTTTGATGAGCAAGGATTCTCTTAGGTTGAAGAGATGGCAGGACATTCAGGGTGGAAGGCACAGCAAAGGTATAGGCAAGATGGTGGAAATGAAAACGGGCTCTGTGTGTGTGTGTGTGTGTGTGTACACGTGCACACACACATGCGTGTGTGGTCAGAAGTGCATCCCCTGGTACTCTCTCTTCTCTCTTTTCTGACTGTATTAGAAGAATAAAGCAGTGGGATCCCCCCTGACATGATGCAGGGGCCCAAACATGTACTGAAAGGTCGACTAGACCCTCAGGTGGTCAAAGTCACCCAAACACACTGCCTGTCCTATTTATCACACTCATGCTCCCACCTCAGCCCCCTTCACTGTGCCCCACTTTCCCAGGTAAAGCTACGTATGGGACTAAGTAAACTCAGCCTATATTCACCTTTGTTACATAAAAACCAGGAAGGAATAAAAACCAGTCTTAAGGAGAGACTCCAAGTGCCCACCTGGGATCTTGTTTACCCAGAATGGTTGGCATGTGGCCGCATCCTTAGAGTCACCAAGTAACAAGGTACAGAATACATACATTTAATTTTTTTTCCTTTTTTTGTTAATGACAGGGTCTCACTATGTTGCCCAGGCTGGCTTTGAACTCCTGGGCTCAAGAGATCCTCCTGCCTCAGTCTCCCTAGCAGCTGGGACTGCAGACGTGCACCACTGCACCTGAGCAAACTTGAATTTTAAATAAACCACAAACTTCTTTTTAAGCATATCCCAACCATTGCCTGAGACATATTTATGCTAAAAACTTATTCAATGTTTCTCTGAAATTCAAATTCCAATTGAACTGGAGGATATATTTGTGTGTGTGTGTGTGTGTGTGTTTATATATAATATATATATAATATATATATATTATATATACATTATATTTTATATACTATATAATATATAATATATATATATTATATATACATTATATTTTATATACTATATAATATATAATATATAATATAATTATATTTTATATAATATATATTATATAAAATATAAATATATTTTATATAAATATAAATATAAAATATATAATCTATAATATATATTATATTTGATATAAATATAAAATATATAATATATAAATTATATATTATATAAAATATATAATATATAAAATTATATATTATATAAAATATATAATATATAAAATTATATAATATATAATATATTATATATATTAGGTGATCCTCCCTCTTAAGCTTCCCGAGTAGCTAGAACTACAGGCCCACACCACCATGCCTGGCTAATTCTTCTATTTTTTATAGAGAAGGAGTTTCACCATGTTGCCCAGGCTGGTCTCAAACTCCAGGACTCAAGTGATCTGCCCACCTTGGCCTCTCAAAGTGCTGGAATCACAGGCATGAGCCACCATGCCCGGCCAAAGGTTCTATATTTTTATTTGCTAAGTATGTCAGCGCTACACTCTGTTAATCCAGAAAGACTATGAGCAACCTTCAAAGCATCCCTGGCCTGCCTCTCGTTCTTGTGCTAATCACAATTTGATGCTTGGTGGCACGATAATGCCATAGCATAATTAATTTTATCTGGTACACAAATAGATTGTCTCCTCTCTGTTAGATAAAACTGTAACTTATAAATTGCAAAATTAAAGATTTTCTCCCCAAATTTATAGTCACTGTAGAAAATCTAAAAACACAAAGAAAAACAAAACAAAAAAATATATAAAGGGACTATCTGGAGATAACTTCAATGAATACTCTTCAGTATTGCCTTCTTTTTTTTTTCTACACGGACACTTTTTTTTTCACTTAATTCTGTGTAATTCTGTACCTTGATTTTTTGACTTAGCATTATACCATAGATGTTTCCATGTCATTAAAAAATTCCTGACATTGTCTTTTTGAATGAATGCATAATACTCCATTGCAATGATACATACCAGGTTTACATTTTCTGATAATATAAATGACCCAGTGATTAACACTTTTGTGCATAAGTTTGTCTTTATACTCTAGATAATTTCCTTAGAATGGGTCCAGAAGTGGATGGCTATAAGCATAGCTATTTCTCTGTCTAACCAAACATTTATAGTTTTTTCCCCAGATTGTAAAAGAAAATCATTTTCTGTGGATTAAATTTGGTAAATACAAAAAAGTTGAAACCAAAATTCCATTTGTAATTCTCCTACCAGTAAACAGTCACTGTGAACACTTGGCAGTGCTTGCTGCTGTTATTTTTTCCTATGGAAGTCTAAAATGAATAGTTGTAAAACTATTGAAGCTCATCGCCAAGTCACTTTCCAGAAAGGTTTTATCATTTTACACACTAACAGAGAACAAATTGTGACATAATCTCCACAATGTTGCAATTTCTTTGATACTGTCTTTAAAATGAATTATTGCAAATTTTATTGTTGTTTTAATTTGGGGATTCTATTTTATTGTATTTTATTTATTTATTTTATTATTTTGAGACAGGCTCTCTCTCTGTTGTCCAGGCTGGAGTGCAGTGGCGCAATCTCCGCTCACTGCAGCCTTCACCTCCCCGGGCTCAAGTGATCCTCCCACCTCAGCCTCTCAAGTAGCTGGAACCACAGGCATGCACCACCATGCCCAGCTAATTTTTGCATATTTTGTAGAGATGGGGTTTTGCCATGTTGGCCAGGCTGGTCTTGAACTCCTGAGCTCAAGTGATCCACCTGCCTCAGCCTCCCAAAGTGCTGGGGTTACAGGCAAGAGCCACTGCACCCAGCTTCTCGCATTCTAGATGAATGATGTATGCTTGTTGCAACTGTCTGTCTGTCTGCCTGTTCATCTTGTTAACATCCAGCCAACTCATGTCCTCTGGCCAAGTGTGAGCTCCTTGTGGGTTGGGACACATTTGCCACTGCTTACCTTTCTCTCAAAACTCCCCTTAGTGATAGGCACATAGTAGGCAGTTTAGTCATTACTAATTAATTGCTAGTTGACTCCCTCCAAAGATGTCTCCAGAAAGAGATCTCAATTCGAGGTCATTGCTTCAGAAGCCCTTCTGAAGGTGCTATCATGATATCAGCCACTGTTGCTCATACTCACTGTCCGTTTTAAGACGATCAGTTTTTATGGCCTCCTGGAGGTGTATAGTAACATATGAAAGGAGCGATTAAAATGCCTTTAATTGCTAGATGATGGAAATCATGGGATCTCAGACTTAATGATGCTCTTCTCTGTGCAAGGAAAGATACACCTTTCTGTCCATATCACCCATCTCGCTAGCTCATCAGAGAGCATGGGTGGGACAGATGTAGATGGAGAACAGAGGAGCTTTGTGAATGCAAGACCTTAGAATCGTGCTGGAGTTTAACATTCAGAGGGACTAGGGTGTTTGGTACTCAGAGGGGAGAGCAGATACAATTTGTTGGTCCTAGAGTGGAGACTTTTTCTTTTTCTTTTCTTTTTTTTTTTTAAAAGACAGGGTCTCACTCTGTCACCCAGGCTGGAGTGCAATGTCAAATTCATAGCTCACTGCAGCCTCAACCTCTCTGGCTCAAATAATCCTCCTCCTTCAGCCTCTTGAGTAGCTAGAACTACAGGGATATAGGACCATACCTGGCTAATTTTAAATTTTTTTGTAGAGACAGGGCCTCTGTATGTTGCCCAGGCTGGTTTCAAACTCCTAGGTTCAGGTGATGCTCCTGCCTTGGCCTCCCAAAGTGTTGAGATTATAGGTGTTGTAGCAGGACAAGCTGCAGACAAAACCCCTAGACACCGAGTTAAAGAAGGAAGGGCTTTATTCGGCCAGTAGCTTCGGCAAGACTCACATCTCCAACAATCGAGCTCCCCGAGTGGGCGATTCCTGTCCCTTTTAAGGGCTTACAACTCTAAGGGGGTCCACGTGAGAGGGTCATGATCGATTGAGCAAGCAGGGGGTACATGACTGGGGGCTGCAGGCACTGGTAATCAGACTGGAACAGAACAGGACAGGGATTTTCACAATGCTTTTCCATACAATGTCTGGAATCTATAGATAACATAACCGGTTAGGTCAGGGGTCGATCTTTAACCAGGCCCAGAGTGTGGCGCCGGGCTGTCTGCCTGTGGATTTCATTTCTGCCTTTAGTTTTTACTTCTTCTTTCTTTGGAGGCAGAAATTGGGCATAAGACAATATGAGGGATGGTCTCCTCCCTTAGTGTGAGCCACCATAGAGCAGAGGCTATTAATTGTACCTCTGTATTTATCCTGTAGATAGGATTAGAAATAAACTAAATATCCAATCATAGGAAATGTAAAAACAGTTCAAGTTCATCCATTGGCTAGAAGACTTCATCCTGTCTCTCTTCCTCCTATGGAAAAAATGTGCTTCTTCAGCTAGCATTGGTGGAAGAATTGCATTCAAGTTAATTTTAAGTTACTATTTATCTCTGTATTTCATTCTATGTGGAACTCAAGAAAGATCAGGCTTTTTCACCTTAGTTGTTTAAAAAATTAATTAGAGTTTTTTTTTGTTAATCAAGTAGTGCATCATCATTGTAATAATTTGGAAACATCAAGAAAATTACAAAGAAAATACAAATTGCCATTAATAAATATTTTCATGTTTTCTCTTCTGGATTCTCCCTTCTCCCCTCATATCTCCACCTCCAAGAGTTTTCTTTTTTAGTTTATGCTGAGCCCTTCTCCTGATCACTCAAAAATGTTAAAAGACATGGCTTCAATGGCTGCAGACTTAGCCTATGGATAAACTTCCATTTCATATGATTGGATATTCAGTTTATTTCTAATCCTAATCTTTTGCACTGATTTTCGCTTCAAATTAGTTTCCTTTATG